>NC_000016.10:60017045-60320075 GCF_000001405.40 Homo sapiens | reverse complement strand
TACTATTGCCACTAGTTCAAAACTAATAGAATAGTTGAATTTGAAGTCAGCTTTTGATGGACATATAATTTTCCTTCTTTAAAGTACTTTTAATGGGAAGAAAAAAATAATTAGGAAAGAATTGCATGCTTTAATATATAATTATATAAGTAGTTTTGGAACAGAAGTGTTAATAATAGTCAAACTTCAAAGACTTGAGTTTTGTTGCTGTTGTTCTTATGTTACAAACGTTGGTACCTATGAGCCAAAAATCGAAGCAGTGTTTACTTTTTGATGAAACAATCTTTATTAGATCAAGGAATAATTTACGCATGGAACAACCATTTAACGACACTCTGATCTAGTACTGAAATATAAGAAACAATGTGTTCATCCAAACTACAGAGAGCATTTGGTAGGTCTAGAATTATAAAATAAAAAGCAATTGAAAGAGTCATCTACTACAACCTCGTCTTTTTCCAGTTTGGTTAAAAAACAGACAATCCAGCCGGCATTGTGGCTCACGCCTGTAATCCCAGCCCTTTGGGAGGCTGAGGCAGGCGGATCACGAGGTCAGGAGATCAAGACCATCCTGGCTACCACGGTGAAACGGTGAAACCCCGTCTCTACTAAAAATACAAAAAAAAAAAAAATTAGCTAGGCATGGTAGCACGCACCTGTAGTCCCAGGTACTTGGGAGGCTGAGGCAGGAGAATTGCTTGAACCCGGGAGGTGGAGGTTGCAGTGAGCCAAGATCGCACCACTGCATTCCAGCCTGGGCGACAGAGTGAGACTGTTTCAAAAAAAAATAGACTATCCAAAATAAGAAAATTTTTCAAAAATGTTGATAACGAGAGATGGAGATCAAGACCTTTGAGAATCTCTAAATAGTTCGTTTTTCTTTGTTAGAAGCAGATGCCAGAAGAGGGTTAGATATGCAGGAGATTAATTAGGGAAAAGCCCTGTGAGAGGAAAATGAAGATGCGGAGATTAGGTACATCATCAGACCTCAATGCCAATTTAACCCTTGTGGAATCAAGAGGGAAAGGAAGAATGTCTAGGAAAAGTCTGAGGCTGCACTGTGGTTCTAGGAAAGTTCTGTCAGATGCAATGCTGAGTCCTGGAGCCAAGGCTGCTGATCAGAGGAGTCCTGTGCCTCTCAGTGGCAAGTTTGCCCAGCTCAGACACAGGCTTGGAGCAGGCTGTGGGAAGCGCCACTTTGATGGATCCTAGAACACAGCAACTGGGGCCATTATCAAGTAGGCTTCCTGCAGGTCAGGATCTGAGACAGACATGTCAGATGTCCCTTAATTTCCTAAACTATTTAACATTTTTCTCATCTATCTAAAGATTGTCCTCTAATATTGTTCAAATATATCAGCTGTGTTTCCTGTTCTCTAAAAAGAGGTTCTATTTGGCCATGGGCGATGACTCACTGTTGGCAAGAAACAAGGGCCACATTGTAAAAGGCCATGGCATGACATAGAGAAAAATGCAATAGTTTCAGGTGATACTCATGATAATAATAAATAAAAATTGTGATTATTAGTAGATGACTTCTATTCACTAGTTACTCTAAAAACATTTCATCTGAATTACCTCTAATGCTCACATTAGACATAATAATTCTATAAGGAGTTATTTCTTCTCCATCTTAAAGAAGAGAATACAGACCCAGGCTCTGTGAAGACCATTCACTCAGCCAGTAAGTGTCACATCACTTAACTTCTCTAAATTTAATTTCCTAATCTGCAAAGCAAGATAACAACGACTTTCAAGGAGGTGCCATGAGGATTGAAATTATGACAACTTGAACTAAATGCCAAGTATATCTTCAGAGACTTTTATACACATCTAACTTTCTGTTTTCTATTCTTTGTGTTTGTTTGTTTTTAGAGTTGGAGGTCATGCTCTGTCACCCAGGCTGCAGTGCAGTGGCTCAATCATAGCTCACTGCAAGCTCAAGCTCAAACTCCTGGGCTCAAGTGATCCTCCCTCCTCAGCCTCCTAAGTAGCTGGAACTACAGACATAAGCCACCATACTTGGCTAATGATTTTTTATTTATTATTATTTTTTAAGAGATGAGGTCTTGCTGCGTTGCCCAGGCTAATCTCGAACTCCTGGCCACAAGCAATCCTCCTGTCTTGGCCTCCCAAAGTGCTAGTGTTACAGGCATGAGCACCATGCCCAGCCCATTTTCCATTAGATTACTATGATATAGTCAGTTTTTCCTATTACTTTCCTCAGTACTTTCTGAATACCTACCTTCCAGGAGCTCCTGTGAGAGTCTTATCTATTTGTTTGTTAGTCTGTTGATATCTTTGGCTAGACAGCAATTCTGTAGCATAGTAGTTAAGAGAATAAATTTTGGAGCCATAGATTCACAAATTGGCCTCTCCCTAATTGACACAATTTAGCTGTGAAATTCTTACTCAATTCTTCTAAGACTCGGTTTCTTTAATTAATATAATGAGAGCCAATAATCCTTATTTTGTAAGGCTTTTTAAGAATTAAATGAAGTAAATGTCTGCAAAATACCTGAATGTAGAAAAATGGAAGCTATTACTAATTATTATTTCATCAGTTTTTAAAACATAGTACTAACTGGTAATGCTCTCATTCATAGTCTAAAAATAAACCTTAGATTCTAGCCTTTCCCTTGTTTTTCTCTCTGGTGATAGTAAAAGTGACTGTCTTGGTCAGGAGGGTCACTAGACTGATAGGCGCTACTCGTAGGCTAATGCACAAAACAATCAGAAATTATCATTAAAACTTATCTTTCTCATGACAGGGTTAATGGAATGTTTTCTAATTTTGAAGCTCAAAAACTTAATTTGGAACAATTAAAATATTTTCTGTAAATAAATTTTCTTAAAACTTCATAGAAAAAATTAAAATAATAAAATTAAAATTAAAACACTCAAGATTCATACATTGAATGAAAGCATGGTTGAAGGAGACTGTGATATGGAGATTCTTAGTTTCTTGATGAAAATTCAAATAGATTTATATTTAAAATATTTTGAGAACCTACTTGATTTACTTTTACATAAAGGCATCGACTTTTCAGTAGCTAATTCAGAATATAAGGGAACCAAAGCCCAAGTAGAAAATGTACAACAATGAACTCATTTGCTTTCCTTCCTACACCCAGTTGTAACACCATTAATGAGAATAAATACTTAAATGAGATTTAATGTCCTGAATTCCTCTAGCCTTTTGAGGATCCTTCCTTTACTTCAATTATCAAGTCCTATGGTTTAAGAACTAAGTTCTCCAACAAAAATAACTTTCATCCCCTCTCTCTCTTTCTCTCCTCTTGAATTTTTTATTATAGTATTTTATTATATTATTAATAAAAAATTCTAATCATTATTTTTTATTTAATTTTTTTTATATGTTATCTGTCAGGTTGGTGCAAAAACAATTGCGGTTTTTGCCATTTCTTTTAATGGCAATAACTTTTGCGCCAACCTAATACTAAGATATAAGCTTCAGGATGTGAGAAGCCGTGCATTTCTTTTTTACTCCTAGGGATCTAAATGCCTAGCAGAATCTCTGACACATAGAAGTCAGTCAAACACTCTCTGAGAAGGAAGGGAGGAAGGAAGATAATAAAGAAAGAAAATGAAGGAAAGAGAGAAGGGAGAAAAATAGGAATGAAAAAAAAAAGGAGGACGCAAAGAAAGGGCAAAGGAAAAGGAAAGAATGGCAAGAAGGAAGAGAGAAGTAACTCAAGCCCTGTCTCATATACTGGAAGACTCACTATTTCCTTGTGAGTCACCGTTACCATTTGCTTTATTATTTTTTAACAATCCCAACTTTCGTAGTCTTGCCATCCTATCTCAATTATCTGTCAAGTTACACAGTGGAAGTCATCTTTTCTTCCATGTGCCATTAATTCCAGGCTATTGTAGCAGAATTTAGTAAACATTTGCTGTAGCAAAGGGAAATTTCTTTTTAGGGCAGAAAACCCTCATATTTAATATAACATTTCACTGTTCCTACAAATCGATGAGTATTTCCCACACAGATAATTTATCCATGGTCACTGTGATTTATTTTCTATCTTACCCAACCCCCACATCTCTTTCCTTTCCTTGTGCTCAGCAAATGTCACCTCATCCTCATCCCAGTTTGTCATGCAGAGTAATTAGATCTTATTCCTCCTAGTCCTGCTCTTATCTTCATTTTCCTTCCTGCTGCAAAGGCACCACTTACTAGCTATTTATTTATACCTCGCCTCATTCCACAAAGAATTTATTGTATTATAAGATTAACTGCAATTAGAAAAAATGTTTTAAAATAAAATGTAAATACAATATGAACACAAGATTATGATTAATTCAGTTCCATTCAGCCAAAGTCAAAATGGGAACAGGGCAAGTGAGTTAAAATAAGATATCTAGGCCAAGAAAGGCAAGCAAAGCATTATAATGTGAACTCTAGACCTGGACTGAGAAATAAAGACAACGCCAAAAAAGTAGTTAGAGTAAGTCTTTAGACTCTTGATTAACCCAAACATTTGGCTCTGAGCTTCCAGGCAGCCAAAATTAAAAGAGAAAGATAATTGGTTTTATCATTCTTATAATCTACATGCAGTAAACATACAAATCCTTAGGGAGAAACAAAGCTTTGCCTAGCACTTAACTCTAAAATAACATTTTATGGGCATAGATATTAAGAAATGGTACATGGGGGCTGGAAATCAGTTCAGAGGCAAGATTCCAGGCCTGAACTAATAAACTCATGAATAAGGGTGACTGGAGAGCTAATGAAAAGAACGAAAGGATGCTTGATATGAGGGCGGGACAACACGCAGAAAATTGGGAGGTTTTGTGGTACTTAGAGAAGAAAGTGATGGAGTAGTGAGAAGTGAGCATTCTCTTTCAGCCTCTTTTGGTTTACTCCAAGCCCTGATCTTTCTCATGCTCCAGCTTTATGGCTAAATTCCCCGGTATTTACATCCTGGAGAAAGTATGACTGTAGCTTCTTCACTAAGCCACGCTCACAAATATTGGAACCAGAGGCAGACAGAGCTCTAGGCTAGAACTTTAATATGCCACTCACTGAAATAGCTATTTCCCTTAATGGTCTTTATCCAAAGAATAGCCCAGTGAAGGTGACATTGGCTATTAACCTATTCTGAGTGTGGGAGGCCCACACAAATAATGCCTGAATTGTTCCTCAAGAACAATTTGGGTGTGAATAGAAACTGCAAAATAGGTTCTGTCACCCAGAATAAAAAATCCCCATCATACATGCAGAAGTTATTCTTTAAGATTACCTAGTTAAGAAAGTAGGCTTATAACCATGGGTGGATATATATGAGGATGATTTTTCAAACCAGTAAAACAAAAGTAACAGGCTTTACCACTGAATGTGTATCAAATTGCTCAGCATGACATTGTTAATAGTCTCAAAAAAACAATTTGGGTATGCAAAGTGACCCAGAATAGAATCTACTGTGATGCCTAAACTGTTTTAAATCTCCACTGAGTTGTTTTTGGGGTTTTGTTTTGTTTTGTTTTTAATGAGTTGCCCTTCAAGGAAGGAGATTTTAAAGACATGGGAAGTAGCTCTTCTCCTGCCTCCCGTGCAGCTTAATCACAGACCCATCCCTTAAGATATGCATAATTTTCCAGTGAATATAGGTCAGGAAGACACATCTCAGTCTTGTCATGAGTCTATATCCCTAAGGGGAAAATTACGTATGTATGTATGTATGTATGCATGTATGTGTTTGTATGTATTATTCATTATGGCATACAGAAATATATGGGTATAGGTATAGATTTCTGTATATACACATTTGTGTGTGTGTTGTATGTGTTATTTGCACCAAAACCTTCACCTGATGCTGCAATCATTATTAAATCAGAACAAACAGGATGGAAGTATTTGAAAAAACTTTTTGCTGGGGAATATTCCCAGTAAGTTCAACTCAGCTCATTGAGAAAATCACCAGATAGGAGCTAACATCACTAGTGTTAACAACAACATGTCAAAGGAAGTAGAAAATTCACAGAAAGGGGGAAGTAGGAAATGATGGCTGAAAGATGACACTGTACAAGAAATGGCAAGAAACTCCAAGAGTAAAAACTGTTTTGAAGTTCAGCACCCTGTGTGAACTCATGCTGAAACATAGAGCTTTCCTGCAGGGTTTCTCAGAGATTGGAGCCCACAGCACTGGGGAAGTGAGGAATGGGACAAATTTTAAGAGGAGGAAGGAGGAAATATGAAGAAGGAATGAGGTTTTAACATGCACTCAACCCAATGTATAGCCAGATGTTTGCTAGGCATTTAAAATGTCCTGCCTCTGGCCAGGTACAGTGACTCACACCTGTAATCCCAGCAATTTGAGAGGCCGTGGATAACTTGAGATCAAGAGTTCAAGACCAGCCTGGCCAACATGGCAAAACCCTGTTTCTACTAAAAATACAAAAATTAGCTGGGCATGGTGGCACACGCCTGTAATCCCAGCTACTCGGGAGGCTGAGGCACAAGAATCTTTTGAACACGGGAGGTGGAAGCTACAGTGCGCTGAGATCGCGCCACTGCACTCCAGCCTGGGTGACAGGGCAAGACTCCGTCTCAAAAAAAAAATTAAAATAAAAAGAAATAAAATAAAATTTGCTGCCTCCTATAATGTATATGATAAACTTCCATTCTGAAATCCCAAATCTTTCAATAATACATTTTTGTAACTTATTAATGCAAAATCTGACCTGACCTAAACTCATTTTGTCTCAGAACCTGACCTGAAAGGGTGTAAGTCAATTGTAGTATTTTAAAAATCTGTCTTTATATTCAAAAATTATTGAATTGTTAATATATCAGTCCTATATAATACAGAATATATGCTCATTATTATCTTTCTAAAATCTGCAAAAAGATTCTAATTTCTGAAACATTTGACCCCAAGGGTTTTAGACTAGGATTGTGGTCCTTTTTTAGTAACAGCGAGATCTCAATATTTTTATATTTATTTTCATGTGCCTATCATTTTGCTAATCCTTTTCTGAGTATTAGCTCACTGAGTCCTCATTACACCTCTTTAAAGTAGATCTGATGATACTTGAGGATGAATAAAGATATATAAGTCTTGTTGAGGATTTTTTCCTTGCATAAGGTTACACAGTTTCTAAATATCAAGGATGTCTTTCTTTCAATACTATTCTATACACTGTGATTCTTAGAAAAATGTCCATATGACTGTAAATACAGAAGAAAATAGCAAAATGAAGTGGGGAAAAAAGTCTATTTTTATGATATTGGTGCTCAAGAACAATGATCCAATCAGCCTTAAATCTGTTAGTTTTCTTAAAGAGGCAGATAAAATAATTAGCAATTTTAGAAAATAAAATATCTTTCAAGAAAATTTGATTTATATTTAGGGTTTTTGACTCAGCTTTGCAAAGATAGCATCTGTATTATAAATTTTTACAACTCTATATTTTCCTGATGCCTCAATCAATAGCCTCACAAACAGGCTGTGAGCACCCTGCCCAGACAACCAGATGGTCTAGTGAGAAAAGGCTAGTCCCAGCCACAAGTTCCTCTTGCCTCAGTCTGACTGTGGCCTAGTGACATTGAATTGCATTCATAAAACTCCCTCATACCTTTCACTTGTGTACTCCCCAGTAAAGGCACTTGCCCACTAGTCCTCACTCTCTTTCTTGACTCCCCTCCTGCATGGTTGAAACTGCTCCCCTGAAGCTCCTCCCATATGGCCCCTTGTGTCACATGCCCTGCCACCTGTCTGTAGGACCTGTGAGTATAATCAATCTTTTAATTTCTAACTGCCTGTCCAAGTGTGTTTTCCATGGCTATGTTGAAATATTCATTAAACACCCCACCCTCAAAGGAGGACTTTCTCTCCCACTTATAACACATCACCTCTTTTTTGCTCTTTGACCCAGAAGTTCTCAACACTTAATTAGTACCAAGTCAATGGTGAATGAAGTTCACATATTCTTTCTTTCCCATGGATTTTAACAAACATAAAATTATCAGCACCCTGGGTAAAAGTCCTCCTGCACATTGAAGATATTCTCTCTCTCTTGATCTTTCTCTCTCTGTCTCTGTCTCGCTCTCTCTCTCTCTCTCTATATATATATATGTAATGTATTAATATTGTTTAATTAAAGAAATTTTGGGCCTGGCTATGTTTTCTTAGTGTGTAATTAAGCCTCATATCAACAATAATAAATTGTAGAACTCCTAAACAATGTGGTTGAAACATGCCACTGTAATCTGTTACTTCCAGACATGACATGCTCTTTCAAGAACTAAAATAGGACTTGCTTGTATAGCAGCCCTGAAGTAGCATCTCATTGAAAGATTCTTGGGATATGGAGAAACACTGGTATCTAGAAATGAAATATAATGCATACAGGTGGAAAGAAGTAGAAACAATCTGTTTCTGTTTTAAATAGAAATAAAACAGTACTGACTTTTTCATGAGTAAATCAATTGCTTAACAAGTTAATATCTAGCAAATCACACAGCTTTTGGCATCATCAATTGTGCTAAATACGTGGCATTAAGTTAATTACAAGTTATGAGGAATCTTCCTAGGGTATATCTTCTACCAATTTAGGGACTTTCTCTTCTGTATTCTAATGATTTGGTTGGCCATATAATTCAATCAAACACAGAGCATTCAGCCCTTTCTGCCTAGAAAAGCACTCACCGTCAGCAATCTGAAATCAAATCATTGTGGTGATCCCTCTGCCACATGGAGTAAGATGTGACAATTTAGAAAGACAATGGGTATGTTAAACTACTCAATGGAGTTTCAAAGCTAGTAGCATTCAAAAGAATAAATAAAACCATAAGCTTTACAGCTGTTTAGACAGATGAGCCAATAAGGGAACCAGTGCTTCCAGTCATTCCTTATTATCAGAGAACAATTCCTTTGCTAGTGGATTAGATCCTCTTTTTTGTCTTGTTTATGTTGACTTGCAGTCTTGTCATTATTTTCTTGGTTTATAATATAGTTCAAACATTAAGGGGTAACTCTAAGAAGTTATGTGCTGTTGGGATTTGTCACTCTGCCAAGGACAATTTGCCCAAGACTTAAGAAGTCTTCTTAAGCTGTCTTTAGTTGTAGAATTTTCAGTACAGAAGCTTTATCCTCTGTTTGAAAGCATGCCTATGTGCTGTTACTGTAAATTTTTTCCTTTTTTTCTTTTTTTTTATGCTTTGAGATTAGGAATGTATTTTAAATTGTGAGCTGTAGGTCACTGGAGAGGAGAGAGGTGCTTAAATGATACCTTTCAAGGATAAATTTGCCCTAAGATCTGCTCTAGTAATTTTGTTTTTCTATGTCCCCAAACAAGGTATTACACTGATATAAATCCAACACTGATGAAAAGCAATGAAAGAAGTAAATACAATCACTTCAAGAATGAAAATAATTTCATTGTTTTATCATTTAAATCTCAATTCCATCAATGGTTTTATTCATTTTCTTATTTCTAAGTTGTTTATCTTAATTTTACAAACTAAAATATCCAGGTATAATTATTTTTTTCCAAAGAATCAGCTACTAGATACTTTTATCAATGTCACTTATCTATATATTTCAAAGTATTTGCACTTGTTTTTGTATTTGCAATTTTTTGTTTTCTTCCTCATAATCTTTGTTTTTTGCTTTTAGTTGAATATTTAATATTTATTTAATCATGTCTCTCATCAAAGAAAAGAAAATAACTTGAAGCCATGCCTTTCTTAAAATGTACTTTTGTAAAATGTATTAAATGTATACTATTGAATCTTTGCTTAATACAACACAAATTTATTTATTATCTTACAGCTCTGGAGGTCAGAAGTTTAGAATGCATCTCACTGGGATAAAATCAAGGCATCTGCAATGCTATGTTCCTTCTAGAGGCTGTAGGAGAGAATGCATTTCTTTTCTTTTTCCAGATTCTAGAGGCTTTCTGTGTTACTTAGTTTGAGGCCCACCCTTCTATCTTTAAAGTCACCAATGCCCAGTCGAATTTTGCTCCATCACATCACTGACACTAACTTCTGCCTCCCTCTCCCATTTATAAAGACCCTTGTGATTACATTGTGCCATCTGGATAACACAGGATCATCTCCTCATCTCAAATTCAACTGATTATCAATCTCAATGAGATGTATAACCTCAATTCTTCCTTGTCATGTTCAATGAATGAAACTGAAATTGCCATTGTAGTCCGGGCGCAGTGGCTCACGCCTGTAATCCCAGCACTTTGGGAGGCTGAGGCAGGTGGATCACCTGAGGTCAGAAGTTTGAGACCAGCCTGACCAAAAAAGTGAAACCCCGTCTCTACTAAAAATACAAAAATTAGCCAGGCATGGTGGCAGGCACCTGCAGTACCAGCTACTCGAGGGGCTGAGACAGGAGAATCGCTTGAACCTGGGAGGGGGAGGTTGCAATGAGTCAAGATCATGCCACTGCACTCCAGCCTGGGTGATGGAGCAAGACTCCATCTCAAAAAAAAAAAAAAAAAAAAAAAAAAGAAAGAAAGAAAGAAAAGAAAAGAAAGAGAAAAAAGAAATCGTCATTGCAAAATTGTAACTGACAGTGAAAGAGATCTAACCTAACCAACTCTTCCTTGCATCTCACCTCCAAGCTGTCCTTGTTCATTCCTGGGCATAGGCTGAAGTAACTTTGGGAGGAATTTAGTTTATAGTTGAAAACAAAAATAATAACAGCCCTTTCCCAAAACAAACCTCCTTCTTGCTTGGGGACTAAATTGCCTTTGTAGGACTAACAAATTAGCCACAAGATTAAAATTGTGATTTAGGAGTCATGCAGTTGGAGGCTACAAGATTCTGACCCTCCTTGAACTGCTCCTAAGATCAGTGCTTGAGATGTTTTGCAGACCCTGCACTTGATGGCTCAGCTGGCACCACCCAGATCAATAAACTGGCTCATCAGATATTGTGGCCTCCACCTGGAACTGACTCAGCATTAGAAGACAGCTTTGACTCCCTGTGATTTCATCTCTGATTGGTCAGGCCACTGGTTCCCCCACCCACCAAGTTGTCCTTAAAAACTCTGATCCCTGAATGCTCACGGAGACTGATCTGAGTAATAATAAAACTTCAGTCTCCTGCGCAGTTGGTTTTGCGTGAATTACTCTTTCTCTATTGCAATTCCCCTGTCTTGATAAATTGGTTCTGTCTAGGCAGCAGGCAAGGTGAACCCATTGGTTGGTAACAGAATGTTTGTGTCCCTCCATAATTCATACATTAAAATTCTATCTTCTCTACCCCCAATATGATGATATGGGGAGGTGGAGGCTTTGGGAGGTAATTAGGTCATAAAGGTGGAGACCTCAAGAAGCTTCATGCTTTTATGAAATGACCCCAGATAGTTCTCCCTTTCAGCCATGTGAAGACATAATGAGAAGTAGGCAATCTGCAGAACCTGACCATGCTGATACCCTGATATCAGACTTTCACCCTTCAGAACTGTGAGAAACAAATTTCTGTTGTTTATAAGCCACCCAATTTATGGAAATTTGTTATTGCAACCTGAACTAAAACACCATGAATCCCAATCTATTCACAGGTCCAGCTCGTGGACATCTTTGGAGGCCATTATTCTGCCACCACAGGGGCTTTTTTTCTAAAGCGTGGGAATGGAAATATAAATCTTACCATGATCTGAAATCATCATATTTTAGATGATACTGCCTATGAAGATGAAAAGTAAGATACATTTAAAATATGGAAATATTATGAATGGATGGTGAATTGGCAACGAGAGAGTGTGAAGAGGGGCCCATTTCAAAGTAGACAAGGAAAGTCTCTTGGATAAATGAATAACAAGAAGAAGTTAATGAAGCACATATCTAGGGAAAGGGTACTTCAGACAGAAGGATTGAAAGGTACCAAAGTCATAAACAAGAATAAGTTTGGAATATTCTTAAAACAGAAAGGTGATGCAAAGACAAAGAGCCAGGGAAAGAGAATGAATCTGAGAATAATAGCCAAACTCCTTACCACAATTGACGTGATTTTGTGTGATTTGCTTATTTCTTCACCTTTCCCTCTGTGTGTTGGTAAGCCACTGGACAAGTTTTAGCAATATTTTAACCACAGCATTATAGACTGGAAAGTTCATTTTGGCTGCTTTATAAAGAATGAGCTTCAGGGTACTAGACAGGAGTTAGTGAAACCAACTAGGAGGTGATGGACATGGTTCAAGGGAGAGATGAGGTAGCAATGGAGTCAAAGAGTACTGGACATATTTGGACATATTCTTCTGAGGTAAATTCTGCAAAGGGGTGCCTCATCCTTTGAACTATTGACATTTTGAGGTAAACAATTATTTGTTGTGAGGAACTCTTCTTTGCATTCTTCAGAATCACTCATGTACAGGATTTGGTGAAGTCTTGAATGAAGGGTGAGGGAAGAAGAGAAGTTCAGGATTACTCTTGAGTGCCAAGTTTTCATAAGTGAAATTGTATAAGCTCTTTTTTTATTGCTCTCAGTACACATAAACCTGGGTTTTGTATAAATTAGGAGACTGGTGTCATTGAAGCCTTTAAGAGAATCTACAAGGAGAACTGTTTGTAATAAAAGCTTAAAAACTTTCTTAAAAAATACTTCCCCTAATAATAAAATGACATACTTGACTCTCTGGAGGTGAAATTTTATGGGCTTCCTTCCTCAGACATGAAATAACCAGTTTGGGTTCTATTATCTCTAAGATGATCCCATTTCTAACCTTTTATCTCTAGGCTCCAATTCCACTTTTAGAGACCTTACTTTGATTAACTGATAGAGAAGTGATATATAGATAGATACAGAGATATGGATATAGATGTAGATATAGATGATATAGATATCACACACACACACACACACACACACACACACACACACACACATATACACATAGCCCATTTTCCTCCCAGATTTTTATATATTTGCTAATTTGCTAGACACAGAACAGGAAAATAACAGTGAGTTATACTCACCTAAAGCCTAAGACTCTAATAAACACTTTTTTTTTTGAGACGGAGTCTCACTCTGTCACCCAGGCTGGAGTGCAATGGTGTAATCTCGGCTCACTGCAACCTCTGCCTCCTGGGTTGAAGCGATTCTCCTGCCTCAGCCTCTTAAGTAGCTGGGATTACAGGCGCAAACCACCATGCCTGGCTAATTTTTGTATTTTTAGTAGAGACAGCGTTTCACCATGTTGGTCATCACCATGTTGGTCAGACTGGTCTCAAACTCCTGACCTCGTCATCCACCCATCTCGGCCTCTCAAAGTGCTGGGATTACAGGCATAAGCCACCGTGCCCGGCCCAATTTAACTTTTATTAATAACAATTTACTTATAATTATATGACCTGTCACAACTCGATTGTGAATTTCCCTATGGCATAGACCACATTACGTCTTCCACATTTCCTGGTACAGAGGTAGTCATAATGGATATTTATTGATTTTTTTGTGTGCAGAAGGGCTCATACCCACACACACATCTTTCTTTTCAATTCATGGGATTCTACAGAACTTGCCAATCAATCTAAAGCTTTCTAGACTCACGAATGAGACCATTTTAATCTCCTGATCAGCATGATTGGCCCAACCTAGAGCACTTGTTTATCACTGGACCCAATCAGCAGCCCTTTCTTGATGCTTCTTCTTGTAATTATTATTTTAAATTTGAGCTTTGAATAGTATAAGCAGAAAGGAAAGAACACTGAGTTTTAAGCAGTTGTATTCAGGACTTCTATATTGTGAGAATGCTGGTCTGAAGAAGAACCTGATATGCAGTGACATGAGGAAACAAGTGTTAGAAGGTTTGTACTTTTCCTGGAGTCATCACTAAAACTAGCTACTTTTTAGGTCAGGTGAGTCAACCAATTCCTCATGGTTAATTTTTTTTTTGGATCCAGTTATTGTCGCTTGCCAGAAAATAGCTCTGCCTGATATAGTAGGTAGTTTTAAAAAAATAAACAATGGTTATTGATGGCAATGTTGGTGTAAATAAGAGTTTTGAATATAACATGTTTTTCTCTCTAAATAGAGGGGAAAACATGTAATAAAGTCATTTAAGAGGAGTAGCTCACAAAACATCTCATTTGCAAGGACAAAATAAAGAGAAATTTTTAAAAAGGGAATATGAGTGGAGAGATAAAATAATATATAAGGTACTGAGTGGGATTGGCTTGCTAGGATTTACTTAAAATCCATTCATTCATCAGAATGTTGATCAATGGCTCCCTATGGAGAACAAATCTGGCAAACGGTTTGAAGAGATCAACGGTAGAAAGAAGACATTGCTCTAATTACACAGAGTTTAAAGCATAAATGTTTACTAATTAATAAACTGCTCACTCACTCATTCATTCATTTATTCATTTGCTTACTGAGTTCATACAACGTGCCAAGAACTGTGACAGATGTTGTGGACATGAAAGTAAACCAAAAATGTTTCTCTCTCCAAAAGGTCACAAGTCTCAAATATAAATCAAGCAGAGGTGGGCAAGTAATACAAACTGGGATGCCAGCCATCTACAGGATAATAAGAAACAGTGGTGGATTAGGAGAATTTGTGAGCCAAAGCTCTTAAAATATTCAATATCAGGTGTTTGGTTTTGTTTTGGTTTGGGGGTTTTGTTTGTTTGTTTGTGTTACAAAAAAATATTTGGGAGCTGGATATAGCCTGCATAACTTTTGGGCTTTCTGATGTGCAACCTCTGGTCCTGATATATAAGCAAATAATTTAATATCAGGTAAAAGGTTCTATGGGGGAAGGGAACTGTTGAGTTCTCTGAATTCACTTGTGAATGGCATTCTGGAAGTAGTGTTACCTAAATGCTAAAGAATGAGTAGATATCATCCATGTAAATGGAGAAGAGCATCTCAGACAGATGGAACAGAATATACTAAGGCCTGGAAGTTAGGAATGGTCTTGGAACACTGGAAATATGCAAGAGCTTTCATATGTCTGAGCATAGAGTCTCAGGAGATCATGAAAAATAAGGCTCCAGAGTTCAGCCTGTTAGCAAGGTTGTGTCCAGGCCTGGGGGCTCCTTGGTGACACAGTGTAATTTCAAATCTAACACATTTAACAATAGACAATAAAACAAAGAAACCAAGGAACACCTCATAATACGGAGTTAAGGCTTGCAACACACTGCTGTCTCAAGAGATTTTCTTTTGCTGGCTAAGCCTCTTATGTTTGGCACAAAACAACATTGTCAAATATAAGCTTGATTCCAGCAGGAAAAATTAAGATATTGTAGTCCCAGTTATTTACTACAGTTGTGCTGAATTTAGATATCTGCTTACCTGACGATACACAGAGAGAATGTCTTTAGGTTTTCCTATAAAACTCACTATTTGGGCTAAGCACATTAATAAAACTAATAGGTTTTGGAATAAAAAAGTCTAAAAAAAGACATGAGTTAAAAAAGGGTGGTGTATTCCCTTGGTTAAATTTCTTCTTTTTACTTTCCGTTTATCTAAGTCCTAATTTACACCCAATAGATTGAATTCTCTTTGAGGGAGCAAACAATTTTCAATTCTCCTTTCTGCCTTCAATATATTGAACAATACTTAATGCCTACTCTTAAATGTGTTCAAACAATATCTAGTTGTCTGGATTGAACATTGTATTCATTATCTACTGCTGCATAACAAATTATCCCCCAAAATTAATAGCTTAAAACAATAAACATTTACTATTACACAATTTCTGTGGGTTAGGAATCTGAGAGTGGCTTGGCTGGTGGGTATGGCCCAGGATCTTTTACAAAGCAGCCGTCCAAGTGTTGTCTGGGGCTGCCAGCATCTCAAGGCTCAACTCTCGGAGGACTCACATCTATGCTTATGCATGTGATGTTGGCAAGGCTGAGAATATCCACTTCCAACCTCACTCACATGGTCCTCTCCACAGGACTTCCCCAGATCAAGCAATCCAAAGAATGTGAGAAAATACCCAACAGGGAAGCAACTTTTTTTTTTTTTTTTTTTTGAGACGGAGTCTCGCACTGTAGCCCAGGCTGGAGTGCAGTGGCGCACCATCTCTGCTCACTGCGAGCTCCGCCTCCCAGATTCTCATCATTCTCCTGCCTCAGCCTCCCTAGTAGCTGGGACTACAGGCGCCCGCCACCACACCCAGCTAAATTTTTGTATTTTTAGTATAGACAGGGTTTCCCCGTGTTAGCCAGGATGGTTTCGATCTCCTGACCTCGTGATCCACCCGCCTCAGCTTCCCAAAGTGCTGGGATTACAGGCATGAGCGACCACGCTCAGCCAGGAAGCAACATTTTTAAAATATCCTAATCTCAGAAGAGATGGCTTATCATTTCTGCCATGTCCTATTCATTATAAGTGACTTCATAACTCCAGCCCACACTGGAGGGCAGAAAGCTACTCAAAAGTGTAGTTTGAAATTGCCTACCACAAACATTTTAAAGAGAAGTTAAGAAATAGCATGTAGGCCGGGCTCACGTCTGTAATCCCAGCACTTCGGGATGCCGAGGCGGGCGGATCATGAGGTCGAGAGATCAAGACCATCCTGGCCAACATGGTGAAATCCCGTCTCTACTAAAAATATAAAAATTAGCCTGGTGTGGTGGTGCGTGTCTGTAGTCCTAGCTACTCGGGAGGCTGAGGCAGGAGAATTGCTTGAACCCAGGAGGCGGACGCTGCAGTGAGCTGAGATAGTGCCACTGTACCCCAGCCTGGCGACAGAGCGAGACTCCATCTTGAAAAAATATATAAAGAAGAAGAAAGAGAGTGCACTGCTACTTTGAATGGAATCAGAATACTATTATGGAGGAATAACCAATAGTGGATAAGAGAAAGAAAATTATTATAGATTGAGCAAGTTTGCCTAAGGTCATGGCCGGTAAGATCTCACTTCTCCTCATGACTCCTAATATCATCAATAAAATCAACCTCAAGATGGCTATGGTGATTTTAATGAATTTTTTGGTAGAAATCAATGAAACAACTGACTTTTATGTTATTTCTATTAGAGTAGGGAAGCAAATCAGATAAGAGAACCTAGAAGTACAAAGGTAGAGGGAAAAATAAGGCAGCAAACCCCAAGAACTCATAAAAATTTGGGGAAAATACAGGAACTCATACAGCTGTGGAGCTGCATGAGCTGAGATTGATTGTAACCAGACGTAAGAAGCAAAGATGCTTCCAGTGAATTCCCAGGTGCATATTTATTAGTGAAATTGTGTTTCAACGTCAATTTCTCCTGCTAGACAGAAAAGAAGCTCCATGATGTAATGAGCTGTATTTTCCTAAGTCAATGGCATTGAGAATCAGATTTTTGGAGAAGAAAAAACCTGAAATAAAGAAAGAAAGTTTTGCTTTCTCTAATTCTTGGAACAGAACCAGATGCTCATTTTTCCTTTGATTTTCTTTGTTTTATTTTTGGTGGACTGAAAGAAGGAATAAAAGAATGTGTTTACACATCTTGTCTCCGCAGTGTAGAGCTCTATCATTTTTTTGACTGTTGTTCCTTCTGAAGTAGCTGCAGGCTATTGCATTAGACACCATCACCGACTGTTGCCACAACACACAATGTCTCCTGACAAATTGCACAGAAGCCTATAAGGGACTTGGCATAAAAGCCTTGCTCAAAAGGGTGATTTGCAGCCCAATCATTCTCTCATAATAAGAGTTACACAGAGAAGTAATTAGTTAAGTCAGCAAGTATAGAAGCAGAAGAGGCAGTGACTAACCTCCCTTTATCATGAAGCACTAGAGGAGGTACTGGTAAGAGGTGAGATCACTAAACCCTCTTTTTGTGTAAATCATCATAAGATAGATTAATTTTTGGAAAGAGATTCTAATTTCCAGTGAGAATTGACTGTGGGTATTAAGATTCAAGGCTGTTTTCTTCCTTTCCTCCTTCCTTTTTTTAAACTATTGTGTCTGTTGACTTTATATTCCCATGATCTAAGCTAAAAGAGAATGTGTCTGGCACTTGACATTTTGCACATAAGTGAATCTTATTAAAACCCTATATTCATTAAGAACAAAGGTCTTATGATATTTTTACGGGAGAATTTTCCTTAACCCTCTTGTCTCCCAGCAGACTGTTCACATGGTAGGTTATTTGTACCCCACATTAGATGGCAAACTGCACGAGGGTAGGAAGTATATTTATTTAATTCACTAATGTATCCGACATAGTAGCATTCCTGGAGTATAGTAGCTTCTTAATAAATATTCATCAAGTGACTGTTTGATGAATTGGCATCATTTTCAAAGCTTCATTATAAACAGGATATGAATTTTCATTCTCTCTTGTCCTGATTTAACGAGCTCAAATTCCTTTAATAAATCATGCATTGCATAAAAATTCTGTCATTAAAGACAAAGAAACATCATATTCTGTTTGCTTTTTCTTTCTTTCCACCCATTGATGATACTGAATTTCAACCATTCTGACATCCAGAGTGGACCTTTTACTCAAAATTTCAATAGAATTGAGAATTAAATTTTTGGAAAAGAAAATAAAACTAAAATAGGCAAGGAAATTATTAGTTTTTTCAGTTTTATACAGAAGAATGAAAGGGCTTTTGTGATTTGCTTAACCTCTTCTACATAACTTCTCTTTATAAGCAAATGTGCCAGATGCCTCTAGTGCCCCATCTCACAGCTTCTCCAGTCCAGCTATTTGAATTTAACTTTTGCTGTAGCAAACCAGCTTCTCTAGGTATAACTTGGTGACACATTCATCTGAATTGCATCACTTATATTGTCCATTTCTGCCCTAGGTCTTTTCTAAAAAGACATCTGTGTGCAACTTCTAAGGACTCAGACAACTCTCAGCCTAAAAGAAATATGACACTATTCTGGGGTTTTCCAGAGAAACAATATTGATGGGATCGATCTGTCTATCTGTCTATATCTATCCATCTATCTATCTATCTAGAAAGAGAAAAGGGGGATTTATTGATTGATTATTTTAAAAAATGGGTTCATGAGATTATATAGACTGGCAAGTCCAAAATCTGCAGGGCTAATATCCCAATTCAAGTCAGAAGCTGGAAGCCTGTTATAGAACCAGGAAAAGCTGAGGTCCTTAATAGGAGGTCATCAGGTAGGAGAATTCTTTCTTACTCAGAGGAGAATCAGTGGTTTTTCCTATTCAGGTCTTCAACTGACTAGATGAGGCTCACCCACACAATGGAGGGCAGTCTGGGATACTCATTCCAGGCATTTAAATATTAATGTCATCCAAAAACATCCTCATAGAAACACCCAGAATAAGCTAACAGGTGGGACATGTTGAATGAAGATAATTCTGAGTTCATAATTCCATACAAACATTGATCCATTATATCCATGTCTTCTTATTTCACTTACTAAGGCTCATGGTTATAGAACATCAAAGAGGCTACATTATCCATTACTAAGAATAAGGATTTTGGAGTCTGACTCTGTGGGTTTGAATGCTGGCTGCATTCTTATTAGCTGTGTGATCGTAATCAAGATACTTGGCTGGTCTGTTCCTATTATAGATTGAATGTTTGTGCCCTTGAAAATTCATAAACCAAGCCTTAATCTTCAATGTGATAGTGTTTGAAGATGAGGCTTTTGAGAAGTTATTAGGCTTAGATAAGGTCATAATGTTGGGGCCGCATGATGGACTTATCTGCCCTTGTCAGAAGAGACACCAGAAAGTTCACTTGCCTTCTTTCAGTGCTCACATAAAGAGGTCATGTGAACACTCAGCAAGATGGCAGCCATCTGCAACCAGAGGGAGGAGTCTTCACCAGAAACTCACTGTGCTGGCACCCAGATCTCAGACTTCCAGCTTCCAGAACTAGGAGAAAATAAATTTATGTTGTTTAAGCCACCCAGTTATGATATTTTTTATGGACCTTAAGCAGACTAAGTACCGTAGACCCCTAATCTACAACATAGGTATAGCAATCATGTTTTTAGACCATGGTGTTATTGCAAGAATTAAATAAAATAAGTGAGAAAAAATAGTATAAAGTGAGAAATAGAATATAGGTTGTTTTTGTTTCTTAGTAATAGATTCAAATTTAATCTCTGTCTTAGAAATTAATATCACTTTTAAATATAGCCTCAGAATTTAGAGTATTTTGAAGGCTCCTTTTTTTCTAACAGAAAAGATGTGATCATCGTCTTCATGTTTTACAAATTCTAAGGGATTTGAGAATGCTGAAGTCTATAAATAAAATCCCTTGCCTTAAGCCTGCATATATGACTTCTAACTGGATTTTTCCTATTCACTGTGTTCCAGCAGGTCAAACATGTAATGTCAGGAAAAAAAAATTCCAATAATGGTGAAGAGACGCAGTTAAACGGAGCAAACTGAAAATGACTTTTTTGGCAATGTGTAGATTTTTCAGAGGAGAAATTAAAGATGCACCGTGCTTACTCCAAGCAGGAAAACACACAGGGAGCTTACATGGTGTGAGCCAAATTCTTTTGAAACGTCAAACCTGAAACTCTTTATATTCTGGAGAGGGAATGACACTGAATATTCCTTGACAGTCTGTCTGGTAAATGTGAATGTCATTTAGCAGTCTCTTTCCCAATGAGTGGCATGCTAACATCTCAATAAAATAAGAATGCAGTCCAGAAGTCAATCATCCCATGCCTTCTCAGTTTCCAAGGGACTTGTCTCATCTGTAAGAGCATGGAAAAAATTGCTCTCCTTCTTAATAGATGGAAATATTAAAGCAGCAAGTAACACAACCCAGAATCCCATCAATAAATAAATTCTGCTTGGAAAGGGAAACTTGGCAAATGTTGGCTGACTTTTTTTCTTAATAAATATAACCAGAACTGTTTTATATTTCTCTTCCTTAGTATATTTGTGATAAACAGAGAAATAGAACAATAGCTATCACCAATTTCCTTCTCTCTTGCTAGTCTTTTACAATAGAAACTGGAAAATGCCATTTATTTCCTTATTTGACCTCTTTTACAACTGTGAATATTCGTGTACCAGTTTCATCTGTAAAACATACAGAAAAGTCTTATGGGATAGAGGGATGAAAAGAGATCCACTTCAGGAAAACGCTTTTTTTTTTTCTATAGCTTCCTCAACCCACATATCTTCCTGCCTTTAAAAGTGGACATGATGATTAAAGTTGCATCAGTCATCTTGTGGCCGTGAGGCAAGTGGTCCAGTCCCTACCTGACAATGCCAGGAGCTGGATTTATCAATAAAGTTTGGATCGATGGACCTCTCAAATGGAAACTTCCTGCAGTAGGTAGAATTTTGGTACTCATGAACTTCACTCCCTACCATTACACCTATGAATATGTTATTTTACATAGTGAAGGGGATTTTGCAGTTGGAATTAAATTATGGACTTTAAATATAGGGAGATTCCCCTGGTGGGCCCAATGTAATTATTTGAGCCCATACAGACAGATACATTTCTCTAGCTGGAGTCAGTCCTAAATAAAAAGAAGAGGAAGACAGAGGAGAATTAAGGCAGATAGATGTGAAGATGAGAAGGCCAGTTATGTTAGCTTTGAGCAAGGGAACACAGCTAGCATCTATGGTCTAACAATCCCAGGCCAATCAAGTAAATAGGGACCTCAGTCCTATAGTCATATGGAGCTGAATTCTGCAAAGAGCTTGAATAAGCATTGAAGCAAATTCTTCCTGAGATCCCCCAGTTAAAGAGTAAGCTGGCCAATACCTTGATTTCAGTCTTGTGAGACTGTGAGCTAAGAAATCAGCCTAACCCAACAGACCTTTCACCTGAAGAAGTGTGAGATACTATATCTATGTTTTTTCAAGCCACTAAGTTTATGCTGATTTGTTACAGGAACGTAGAGAACAAATACATTTCCCCAAAACACATTTATTCACTAATGTGTTTTAGAAGATAGGCCATTCTAGGGGGTCAAATAAAAAACCCAATGACAATAACAGCATGGTAATAATAAAAACTAATCATGACTGAGTGTTTCTTATTATTATGTGTCAGGTTCTGTTCCACAGCAAACAAGACAGATTAGGGTACTGTTTCCTTGGAGTTCTTGTGTTAGTAGAAGAAATAGATAACAAACAAATAAATGCCCAAGAAAAAAATATTTGTGTTATACAGACCATTAAGTAGGACAATTTAAAAGCAAATTATTTGTCAAATAGTTTCGATGTTATGGCCAGGGAAAGCCTCTTTGTAGAGGCAAAATCTAAGTGAAATCTGAATGATAAGAAGAAATAAGTGAATAAAACTTTGCGAGGAAGGAAATACAGACAGCTGCAAAGACTCAATGATAGAAACAAGCTTGGACTGCTTGATGTTAAGGAGGTAAAACCATGGTGGATGAGGGAAAGCTGGTGGGAAGGACAGAGATGAAGTCTGAGAGGTAGGGAAAGATTAAATAGGGCTTCAGAGGCCATGAATGGTTTGCATTTTATTCTTTGGGTACTAAGAAGTCAACGGAGAAAAGTGGGGGTCTGAATTATATTCTCAGCTATCACCGATGCTGTATAGGACATGCATTGTGCAGGCTGGCAGGTAACAGTGGAAACTGGGAGTCAGGCCACACCAGGTGATTAGGAGGTAGATCCAGGTGTCAGTTGTGGTGCTGGAACTAAGTGGATGGTTTCAGATTGCTTTGGAGGTAGATTAAATAGGACTTTCTGGAACATTCGTTGTGGAGATGAAGATAAGAATAGACTCAAGATTAACTTTAGATTTTTAGTTTGAGCAGCATGAATGGCAATTCAGAAGATTAAGAAGGGAAAGAACTGAGAAAACTTGACAGGTGGGGTAGAAAGGATGAGGAATCAATCCTGCTTTGGCTGTTTTAATTTTGAGATGCCTGTTAGCTATTCTAAGAGATAATTTGAATATATATAGGACAAAATTTCCCAAAGTTAATTTTTATACATTACTCTTTTTTTGTGGTTTCTTTAAACTACTTGCACTGTTCATTATTTATTTCTTTTTCTGTAATCAAAATCAATTTTCACTTATAAAAATGTGTTTCAAAAGGAAATGTTAAGGCCAATAGACACTCTATTCACTTTTATTTTTGCAGTAGTAATATAAAAGGAAGATAATCATAAAAATAAATACATTGTGAACAAAAGTACTATTTTGACTTTCTGTTTCTGTTGCCTGTCTAAGGCTCTGAACACGTAGTCAGACAACTTAGTTGAGATATATATATTTATATCTTTCTGTGTGTATATATATATATATATATATATATACACACACAGAGAGAGAGACAGAGAAAGAGTAGCAAGTATTAATTTGATGTGAAAGTCACAGCAGCTATGAAATATGACATGCCCTTTTAGTCTCTTTAATGTCTATTGATTATTTCTAGAATATGTTTTCTCTTAGGTGAGTCAAAGTCTATAATGCTATATCTATGTGCCACCTAAATTCTTCTCACTTAATACCTAAAATCATTGGGCAGTACATGACCCACACTTTGAGAATACTGCTATAGGCTGAGTAAATGTTAAATCAATACATGATGAGAGGGGGAGGCATAATTATTACTCACAGTCCACTTATTTTCTTGATTCTCAAGCACACAAAGGACACTGCACATACTCTCTTGGCAAATGTTTTCAAAAGAGATTAAAAATGTATTATGGCCAGGTACTGAGATGATATTAGCATGTTGCCATATTTAAGCCTAGAACAATTTGTATTAAGCTAACCAACTACCTTTTTCTATTAACTATGTTGGCCCCGTCCCCTAGTTTGTAAATCAGATCGGATTTTCATACAACTTTTCAGGCCAACCTAAAAATATTTTCTTTGTGTAAGGCACTGTCCTAGCATATCAGTGCCTGAAGCATGCACATGCTCTGTTCTTGATCTGATTATCCAGTTAGATAGCCAGGGTTGGGGTACAATTTGTGTGTAGGATGTATCAAAATATTCTCCTTTTGCTAGTTTGACCCCTACTTCCTCCCAACTTTGACTCAAAAAGCTCTTGACATTTTTTCATTTCTAGGAGCACATTTGTACAGACGTAGAATATCAGGCATTCTTAATTTTGTTTTTTATGAAAGTGCTGAATAGACTTTACTACGAGAGAGTTAAAATTTTATAAAGCACCTGATTGCACCTTCCTCTTTAGACATAATTGTGGGCTTGTGTTTGTGTGGGGCATTGGGTGGGGAGACTGGACAGTGGTGATTTCCGCTATTCTAATATTTCTCCCAAGGCCAAAGAGACATGAGATAATTCAGTCTAATTTTTTGGCTCTCTGCACTCCCCTGGTCTCAGTCCATCACCTAGGTATGAGGAATTACTAATTAGATTGGCTAATTATAACTGATTGAAACAGCTAATGAGAAACATTACTGCATTATAAAACGGGAGATGACAAAGTTTTGCTCATTCTTCCCCTTCTTGAACACTTGCACAGCAAAAGATTTGTAAGCTTCTGGCAAAGAACTGGTGAATTAACATGACTGGTCCTGTCTTAACAAGCCCAGCCATCACTCTCAAGTTTCCGGTTTATTCACAATGATTAGATTGATATATCAGATGGGGCCTGTGCAGGCATCTGCAAATTGAAGAAATAGGGAGTTAGAAGGCCTGTTACCCTTCCAGACTAGAGTCTCCATTTCATCAGAGAAGGTCTCACTCGAAGAAGAGAACTATGGAAAATGATGGTGGAATATGTAAGAGATCTGGCCCAACCATTAATAATAAATAACTTGTTTATTATTTGGGCTGGTATTTGGCTCATGAAACCTATTATTTCCTCTCTTCTAGGGTTTTCTTCTTAGAGACCTTTACACATGAAAACAAAAGCCAAATCTCTGACACCATTTGATGTTATATTTGCAACATGCACATGTGCCTTATTTTGTTGTTTCATAATTGCACAGAGCCAATCACTTCAGCCCAATGCACACCCAGTAGAGGGTATATATTCATATTCACTTTCGACATTCCTATTTCCACTTTTGACTCAGTATAGTTCTTTTTTCATATACTTATACTTCTTATTCTTGTACTTGCACTGTTTTCTCATTCTCTATTCAAAGCCTAATGCAATGAAATATATGCATGCTTGTACAAATTCTGTTTTATATACAAAATATACTTCTCTAGTAATCACAATTGGTAACAACGCTGAAAATTAACTGTGCCTCACAGCACCACCATAAGCTAACTCAAAATATTTATTCATCAGCAAACAAACTTGGTGTTCAAAAGGCAATAGCAAAATATCAAAGTCTGAAAAATGAAGACTTGTTTTGTTTTGAAATCAACTTGAAGAAAATCAATGACCTGTGATACAGGAACCCTATACCTGCCTCAAGGGACCTCAGTGTCATTGCAATGGATCCATGAATCATATGTGTGCACATATTTTCTCAATCAACAAGTGCTAACATTACAATGACTACTCTTTTAAATGATTTGGCTTTTAGCATTTGGCTATATATGTCACAGTGGTTCTCAAAGTGGCTCAGCACTTTGAGAAGTGGTTTGGCTCAGCAGCATTGGTGTGTTAGAAATGAATATCCTCATATCCTACTTCAGATGTACTGTATCAGAAACTCTGTGGATGAGGCCCAGCAACATGTGTTTTTACAAAACTACCAGTTGATTCTGATGTACAGTAAAGCTTAAAAACCATAGATTTATAAAAGGAGTAAAAGAAGCATGACTTTTGCATCAATGCTAATTACCAAAACTTCTTCTAATGACCTAATTATGGAGTATGGAAGTGTCTAAAAATGTACTCAATGAGATGTTCCTCATATAATTATTTATAATTTATCATCAATTGTAATAAAACAATAAATGTACTACATAAAGAATAATGACATGGGGAATATTAATGTTTTGCTATTTAACAAAAGATATTTTTAAGTTGTGAGTTTAAGATAATCCCAATTTTCTCAAAAGTATACAAATGACTGCATACAAGGGTCAAGGCTGTTATTCCAAATAATCCAAATATCTAAAAAGCTTACCTATACCTAAGATCAGAAATGTTTATAATTTTCTTCTTTACATAAGAGATTTTTCAAGAGTTTTATAGCTAACATATACGTATATGCATGTACACATATATACATGTATGTGTACATAAGCATATACATAAATGTGTTTATATTTGTTTTCAATTGCAAAGGTTTGGAAACTGCACATTTACATAATTCTTCATGCTTTTACCCATCTGAACAGATACCTCCTGTAGCCTTTTTTCTGGTTCTAAAATTATGAAAAGTATTTTCACTTAAAGTTAACATAAAATTTACTACTCTAGGGTTTTTATGGTTTTAGGTCTAACGTTTAAGTCTTTAATCCATCTTGAATTAATTTTTCTATAAGGTGTAAGGAAGGGATCCAGTTTCAGCTTTCTACATATGGCTAGCCAGTTTTCCCAGCACCATTTATTAAATAGGGAATCCTTTCCCCATTGCTTGTTTTTCTCAGGTTTGTCAAAGATCAGATAGTTGTAGATATGCGGCGTTATTTCTGAGGGCTCTGTTCTGTTCCATTGATCTATATCTCTGTTTTGGTACCAGTACCATGCTGTTTTGGTTACTGTAGCCTTGTAGTATAGTTTGAAGTCAGGTAGCATGATGCCTCCAGCTTTGTTCTTTTGGCTTAGGATTGATTTGGCGATGTGGGCTCTTTTTTGGTTCCATATGAACTTTAAAGTAGTTTTTTCCAATTCTGTGAAGAAAGTCATTGGTAGCTTGATGGGGATGGCATTGAATCTATAAATTACCTTGGGCAGTATGGCCATTTTCATGATATTGAATCTTCCTACCCATGAGCATGGAATGTTCTTCCATTTCTTTGTATCCTCTTTTATTTCATTCCTCAGTGGTTTGTAGTTCTCCTTGAAGAGGTCCTTCACGTCCCTTGTAAGTTGGATTCCTAGGTATTTTATTCTCTTTGAAGCAATTGTGAATGGGAGTTCACTCATGATTTGGCTGTTTGTCTGTTATTGGTATATAATAATGCTTGTGATTTTTGTACATTGATTTTGTATCCTGAGACTTTGCTGAAGTTGCTTATCAGCTTAAGGAGAAAACCTAGGCACTACCATTCAGGACATAGGCATGGGCAAGGACTTCATGTCTAAAATACCAAAGGCAATGGCAACAAAAGCCAAAATTGACAAATGGGATCTACTTAAACTAAAGAGCTTCTGCACAGCAAAAGAAACTACTGTCAGAGTGAACAGGCAACCTACAAAATGGGAGAAAATTTTCACAACCTACTCATCTGACAAAGGGCTAATATCCAGAATCTACAATGAACTCAGACAAATTTACAAGAAAAAAACAAACAACCCCATCAAAAAGTGGGTGAAGGACATGAACAGACACTTCCCAAAAGAAGACATTTATGCAGCCAAAAAACACATGAAAAAATGCTCACCATCACTGGCCATCAGAGAAATGCAAATCAAAACCACAATGAGATACCATCTCACACCAGTTAGAATGGCAATCATTAAAAAGTCAGGAAACAACAGGTGCTGGAGAGGATGTGGAGAAACAGGAACACTTTTACACTGTTGGTGGGGCTGGAAACTAGTTCAACCATTGTGGAAGTCAGTGTGGCGATTCCTCAGGGATCTAGAACTAGAAATACCATTTGACCCAGCCATCCCATTACTGGGTATATACTCAAAGGACTATAAATCATGCTGCTATAAAGACACATGCACACGTATGTTTATCGTGGCACTATTCACAATAGCAAAGACTTGGAACCAACCCAAATGTCCAACAATGATAGACTGGATTAAGAAAATGTGGCACATACACACCATGGAATACTATGCAGCCATAAAAAATGATGAGTTCATGTCCTTTGTAGGGACATGGATGAAATTGTAAATCATCATTCTCAGTAAACTATCGCAAGAACAAAAAACCAAACACTGCACATTCTCACTCACAGGTGGGAATTGAACAATGAGATCACATGGACAGAGGAAGGGGAACATCACACTCTGGGGACTGTTGTGGGGTGGGGGGAGGGGGGAGGGATAGCATTGGGAGATATACCTAATGCTAGATGACAAGATAGTGGGTGCAGTGCACCAGCATGGCACATGTATACATATGTAACTAACCTGCACAATGTGCACATGTACCCTAAAACTTAAAGTATAATAATAATAATAATAATAATAATAATAAAGAAAATGATTGTGGTTAGTGGTATTAGAAACGATAAAATTAAAAATATGTCCTTAAAAAAATAAAAAATAAAAAAAAATTTACTACTCATGCATGCATTACATGTGCCACTGTTTTATATTTAACACCATATGTACTAAATAATAATGTTTGTAACATATTTACAATTGAGCACATATGGAACATAGGAATTTTGTTAGAATTACTCTTTATAACTATGTAACTAAAATTATGTTTTATAAGTAAGGTATATCTGAGAAAGAGGATACTAAAATGAATAAATACCTGAGATTGTTGCTTTATTTTGCCTGGCAAGCCTACGTTTTTCTAAAATCAAAGCCAATTTAACTTCACTAAAATTTCTGAGGTTTCCTCCCCATAATTTATTTCGTTTTATTTTTATTTATGCACTCTAGGGAAGAAAAAGGCTTGGCAGAATCCAATATATGGTAATAAAGTCTCAAGGTTTTCTCATTACATTTACTAAAGTAATTTAATCATTATTATATTTTCAGATATTTTCAAATACCAATCTGCTTTTCGCTTAATGAAAGAATTCTTTAGAATTTCAAATGTCCTTTTGAATGCCAATTCTATTTCATGAAACACTACAGTTCAGGATTTTCTGCTCTCCTGGCCTTGAATGTATCTTAAGATTGGAAAGAGTGGTCCATCGATGTAACTTCAAATGAATGGATGTTTTGAGGTTCTTCACAAGTAACAAGTTTTGTTTCTAGATACCAGATGTACAGCTATGTGTTTCTTTTGCAACAAATAAAGGTAGGCTACTGCTTCCAAAAGATTAAATAAAATGGTTTCCTAGGAGAAATAATAAACTGCTTACTAAACAAAGAACGTAGTAAAAATTCAGAGCAATGATTTGGAGTTTTTCATCTCCACCCTTGACCATTAGACATTCACATTCTCCAGGCTCTCTTTCTCAGATAGATAGATAGATAGATAGATAGATAGATAGATAGATAGATAGATAGATAGATAAAATAAAGTTACTGGTCCTTATTATAAGAACAGGGTCCAAACATCCTTTGGATGTTCAAATTACTTGGCAAATCTCCTCTCCTACATGAGAGTTGGAGAACCAATCTTTGTTTGTATGATATTTTAGTTTAATTTCTGAGACCCATGTTTTCTTGTTTTTCAAATGGAAACAATTGTTAAAATTAAAAATTAAAAAATTAAAATACAATTTATGATAATCATTTATTTTATCATCAAATCATAAGACTAAAATTATCAAGCAACTAATGTATGTACATAAATACCATAATATATAGTACTATTACTAATAGAATATTTTTTTAAAATAAATTTTCATTTGGGAGATAATGTTCAGAACTTCCCGCATCCTCTCTTATCCAGTAGATATAGGATATCGAAAAGTGCTCAGTCACCAATCATTCTGGTTTGCCTGGGTATAAAGGATTTCCTTGGACATGAGACTTCAAGTGCTAATATCCAAACTGTCTCAGGAAAACCAGGACTGTTGGTCACCCTACTGAAGATGACGTATGAATTGGTGTATTAGTTAGTTTTCACACTGCGATAAAGAGCTTCCCTGAGATTGGATAATTTATAAAGGAAAAAGATTTAATTGACTCAGAATTCCACATGGCTAGGGAGGCATCAAGAAACTTACAATCATGGCAGAAGGTGAAGGGGAAGCAAGCAACTTCATCACAAGGCAGCAAGAAAAAAAAGCGAGCAAGACCAGGAACAACTACCTTATAAAATCATCAGATCTCACGAGAACTCACTCACTATCATGAGAATAGCATGGGGAAAACTGACCCCATGATCCAATCACCTCCTTCCTTCGACACATGGGGATTACAATTTGAGATGAGATTTGGGTGGGGACACAGAGCCAAACCATATCAATTGGGTTGACATTAGCACATGAATTCCTATCTAAGAAATATGGCTACCCCAGAGCTAAAGCAGAGTAAATCATATTTTACAAGTATTAGAAACACCAAGAAGAATATTTAGAATTAGTATATCTGATGACCAAAAACGCAGGATCTAAGGTACTTCTTTAAGCGGAGTTAAGAGTTCAGGCAAGACACAGCAAACATTGGGAGAAACTGAGCCTCTTTTTCTTCATGTTCTTCCTGGTGGGTAGCAGGTCTTCCCAGAGGGCTGCAGGTGATGACTTAAAAAAAATTATAATATAAAGACTATGAGCTCTTTTTTTCATTTCTTGACTTTGGTGTCTTCAATCTTCCTATACCTAAAACATAATTGTTACCTTCTGTAATAGGCTGATAAGTGGGACTTACTTCAAGGAGAAAAAATATTCATACATTCCAATTATTATGATATTTAAGAGAGCATTTTAACCTATTTTCAAAGGTTTATCTGGTGCAAATATGAGATTGATTTTAATTTCTCTATTATAGTCTAGTGTTCATATACTAATCCTTATTATATTGCCATGAAATTACAAAAATAATATCATAACAATTTTGTGTTTATTCTAAATATTCTTGATAAGCCGTTAGCATTAATGCGGCTGAGGTTTTATTATTTTTCTTCCCAGAAAGAATAGAAATTAGTTTACTTAATATGAGATGATGGTTTCATATAACCGTTAGGATTAAGTAATGTTGAAAACATGAAATTTTAATAGAAAACAATTGCTAAATTTTTATTCGCTGAAATATGTGGACTTCAATTCTGAAGTTGGAATAGTTGGTCTGATTTGGTCTTTTGTGTTAATTGATACAGAATATAGAATGCTATATTCTGTAATCATCCTCTCCAGACCCCACTAAAGTATATAGCATGTACAATCTCTTGACTATTCCTTCTGGAATCTCATACAGAGACTGTAATTAAACTTGTTTAGCCTCTTCATTGAAGAATCTTAAAGCATGTTTTGAATAATAAACCTGCAAACGTCCTCTTACAGAACCACTCAAATATGCAGATAAGCAGAAACCCAGGATATGCTAACATACCGCAAAAAAAAAAACTTTTCTTTATTCCTCAATACAAAGTAAAAACAATTAGTTAATTTTAAGTTATTCATGGACTCTGAAATAAGAAACATCTAGGTTTGAGTCCTGGCTCCACTCTTTAACTGTGAGACTTTAGATGGTCCTCTGACTCTTCATCTAAAAAATAGGAATACTAATGCCTCTCTTGTTATGTGGCTGGACATCTGGCAAAATCTTTCCAATTCCAAAGGCCAACCCCTTCAAATTAAAATGTGTACAAGTGTATAATAGCATTTTCCAAAGTGATAAAAATACTGTCTTTCAGTTCTACCCTCTAGTGTTTTTGAGGTATGGGGTAACTGCAACTGACGATCTTAATGAAACTGGTGATGCGATGGGGTAAGGAAAGAGAGAGTGAGGCTATTAAACATCTTGTATTTCAATGTTGAAATCGGAGGTGGGCTATAATATAATAAGTTTAAACTTGAGTATATCCCTTTAGAAAAATATCCAATGAGGTAAACTCCCTTTTTTATTCAAAGTTGTTGTTTTACTTTGCCACTATAGAAGTCCCCTAAAGTTGATCAAATGTAGGTCTTATTTATAGGGATGTATCCTTTTAATTTTCCCTAAGGAAAACAAAACAAAACACAACAGAATATTGAATAGCCCAGGTTACTATCTAATTAGTCATTACTCTGTCAGTGGCAAAAATGAAACAAAACAAAATAATGGTCAAAATTGTTCAGAAGATGAAACCTAACCTGAGCTGAATAAATCAAGGATGATGTTGCTGCCTTTTAGGTAAACCAGGCTGATGCTCCCAGGTGCACTGTGGATGGTGGAATTTTCTAGCCTAGCCACAGTGAATATGAGCCATGCTAAACCAGTCCAGGAAGATACTCTTGAAATCTCTGTAAGAGGCTTTGAGTAATAGACAAATTTGTGAATCAGATGGGCCTTTTCTCTCCACAAAATATTGTACACTGTTACACAACTCATCGAAAATATTAACCAACATCTTAAAATCTCTTCTGGGCTTTTCCAAATACTCTTTTTTCCCCTTTCACATGGCTGGTAAGAAGGACTTCAAGACCTAAGGGATGTCAGAGCCACACAATGTAAATCTCCTGGATCCCAGAAACATGATTTGGTGGAGAGCCATGAGAAAGAGTATGCAGATGAGGTAGACTCTTTTTGGACCTTGATATAAATAACAAATACAATTTTATTGTGTCATCTCACTGATATTTTGGTGTGCTTTGACAATAGCTTTCTCTGACTAATACATTCTCTCTTAAACCTTAAGATCTTTTTATTTCAAACCACTGGAGGTTTTCCAAAGTCTTGTGGAGTTTCTCTTCCTTTTTTTTCTTTTTTGAGATACAGTCTCGCTCTTGTTGCCCAGGCTGGAGTGCAGTGGCACGATCTTGGCTCATTGCAACCTCCACCTCCCGGGTTCAAGCAATTCTCCTACCTCAGCCTCCTAAGTAGCTGGGATTACAGGCTCCTGCCACCATGCCTGGCTAAATTTTTTGTACTGTTAGTAGAGACAGGGTTTCACCATGTTGGCCAGGCTAGTATCGAACTCCTGACCTCAGGTGATCCACCCACCTCAGCCTCCCAAAGTGCTGGGAATACAGGCATGAGCCACCACACCCAGCCAGTCATGTGGAGTTTCATTATCTTCATGCTGTTCATTTTCTGGAATGTCTTTTATCCTTTAATCAACCTTGGGTCTCAAGTCCTCCTATCATTCATGATCTAGATGAAGCTATTTTTTACCTGTAAAGACATTCTTCATCACCAGCACAACCAACCCCTGGCTTTATTTCTTTACCAGAAACTATAGGTGGCTGCTTTTTGTAACAGTTAAACATTGAGTCTGACAAACGTAAACTAAAATTGTGGCTGCCTACTTTCTTGTTGTGTGTCTGTGGCAAACTTCCTATCTACTATAAACCTGTTTCTTCATCTATTGTATAGGATGACAGTAGAACTGATGCTGGGCAAGAACCTCCAATCCCCTAGGGAGTTGTGGGAGATGTAGGTTCTTGATTTCAATAAAAAATTCAAGAGCAAATCACAAGTGCAAAGTGAAAAGTGAAGCTTATTGCAAATACTGCTCTACAGACACAGTGGGGGAATCTCAGAGAGGAGATGTACTGGGAGGGTCTTGGGTTAGCTGTTTTATTGATTGCATTTAATATATGTAATTAGGGGGAGAGTTATTCATAGGCTTTCAGGGGAAAGAGGTGAGGATTTCCAGGAACCTAGGAAGGGCTTTTTTTTTTTTTTTTTTTTTTTTTAACCACGTATGGCTTCTTCTGGTGGTTGCTATGGCAAACATAAACTGTCACATCGTGAAGGGGGTGTGTTTTTCAGTAGGGAAATGCATTATAATGAGGGTACAATGAGAAGTGAAGGCTGCTTTTGCTGTCACTTGGTTCTGGCTAGTTTAAGCTGATTTATTTACTGTATCCTCTCTTATCAGATGAGTCTTCTGACTCCTTTTCTTCCAAATCAGTCCTGCTTAATTCCTGTCTTAGAACCTACTTTTAAGTGGTTTTACACTTTTTTACAGTGGCTCATGCCTGTAATCCTAGCCCTTTGGAGGCCGAGGATGATGGGTCACCTGAGGTCAGGAGTTCGAGACCAGCCTGGCCAACATGGTGAAATCTCACCTCTACTGAAAATACAAAAATTAGCTGGGCATGGTGGTGCATTCCCGTAATCCCAGCTACCTGGCAGGCTGAGGCAGGAGAATTGCTGGAACCCAGGAGATAGAGGAGGCTGCAATGAGCTGAGATGGTGCCACTGCTCTCCAGTCTGGGCAACAGTGAGACTCCTCACTCTCAAAAAAAAAAAAAAAAGAAGAAAAAAAAAAAAGAACAAAGAACCTACTTTTAAAGGGGCCTCACTCATTGTTACTGAATTGAGTGTTTCTGTTGCTAACTCAGCCACCATCACCCACTACCACCCCATATTGCACATACCTCTGCTTTAGTTCAAACTCATTATATTGCAATCATTTACTGATAGGATCATCACCTTGTCTCTGAGGAATTTCTAGTTTAGAACTGGTGTAGAATTGATATCATGAGATGTTAGTTTCGTGCAGTCATGCATTAAATATATGATTTGTGAAACTTAATTGAACTTTCTTTGTCTTCATTTGAACATAAAGAAACTGAGGCTCAAACTTCTTTATTTGTGAAGATTTTCTCAGGGTGGGGCCCAGTGAATGGAGGATGTTATTAGTTTCCCATTGCTGCTGTGATAAATTAACCAGAACTTAGTGGCTTAAAACAATAGAAATTTATTATTTTAAATCTCTAGATGGCAGAAGTCTAAAATGGGTATCACTGGTCTTAAATCAAGGTACTGGCAGGACTGAGTTTCTTCTGGAGGTTCTAAGAAAGAATCCAAATTCTTTTTTTTTTTTTTTTTTAGACGGCCTGTATTTCCCGGCTCATGACCCCTTTCCATCTTGAAAGTCAGGAATGATATCACCCTAATCTCTACTTCTGTTGCCACATCTTCCTGGACTGACTCACTTGCCTTCCTCTTTCACTTACAAAGAGTTAATGACTACATTGTACCCATCCAGATGATCCAGAATAATAATCCCATCTCAGAATCCTTTACTTCATCACATTTGCCAAAGTCTCTTTTGCAAATATTCACAGGTTCTGGGGATTAGGATGTAGACATCTTTGGGGAGCTGCTATTGTGCCTGCCCCTGGGGAACAGTAGTGAAATAGTAGACATAGTGTCCAGTTTGATCAAGATGACTATAGTAATGATAACAAATGCTACTATATATATATATATTATCGATACAGTTCCTACTTAAGAGTGAAGACAGATTTCACTCAACTTTGCTTTATCATTGCCTGACATGATGAATGAAATGTATTAAGCATGTCCCAAATACTTGCTGTATGAATGGATTAATTAATATGATTTCTTATTTTTTGGGCTATATTTCTGCCTGTATTAAAATAGGATATTTTGTTAAGGTACAGTATACAATTTAGAGATAATTCAAAAATAGTAAAAAGTTTTTACATGAAGTTTAGTAACTCAGTGACTTGAAAATGTTACATGAAATTCTGAATTTTGGCCAGGTGCAGTGACTCACGCCTGTAATCCCAGCACTTTGGGAGGCCGAGGTGGGTGGATCATAAGGTCAGGAGTTCGAGACCATCCTGGCCAACATGGTGAAACCCCGTCTCTACTAAAATACAAAAAAAAAAAAAAAGAAGAAGAAGAAAGAAAGAAAGAAATTCTGAATTTCTGACTACAAAGCATTTCTGGAAGTACTCCAGTACTCTTGGTCTCTTCATGGAACACATTCCGAAATTAAAGTGGTCTCATACTAGAATTTTAACATAGGTCAAATTAGAAGTTAAAACATTTAGGCTCATTAAATATAAATTTCAGATTTCTGAAGCTTTATTCATTCAAACTTAGTTTATCCAATAAACTATAAATCAGGGTCAATAACATTTTAAAAATTAAAAGAGAGAGTATTTAATACCCACCTGAGTACCTCTAAAAACTCTGAACAAATAAATATAAGTTGAAAAAAAGTAAGTCTTCTCTTGCCAGACCTAAGTGGCTAAATCGAAATAGAATACATTTCTGAAAAAATCATGAAGCCAAAATGTGACATTTTAATGATTCATGGTAGGCAAGCTTTAGACTTCTCTTAGTCTATGATAATATACAGTGTAATGAAAATACTGAAAGTGATAATGAATGTAATGTGATAATCATTATAAAATGTACACATACATTATCACACCTTACACCTTCAATATATATAATTTGTATTGTTCAATTACTCCTCCATAAAACTGGAAATAAAAGAGAAATTATCCACTAAATCAAGTCAGTAAAAAATAGTAAAATAGTAAAAAGGCAAATTATTATTGTAGTGATATGTCTAGTATTACTGACAAAAAGCGATTTAATTCTAATTATCACAATAAAAAAAGGAAAAATAAAATGTATATTAAGATTTCCCAAGGTGGATACACTTTCAAAGAAAACAAAGGTGGTTTTCAAATAGCTGTTTTCCTGTCGGGCGCAGTGGCTCATGCTTATAATCCCAGCACTTTTGGGAGGCCAAGGCAGGTGGATTATTTGAGGTCAGGAGATCGAGACCAGCCTGGCCAACATGGCAAAACCCCATCTCTACTGAAAATAAAAAATAACTAGCCAGGCGTGGTGGCACGCACCTGTAATCCCAGTTATTGGGGAGGCTGAGGCAGAAGAATTGCTTGAACCCAGGAGACGGAAGTTGCAGTGAACCGAGACTGTACCACTGCACTCCAGCCTGGGTGACAGAGGGAGACTTCACTTCAAAAAAAAAAAAAAAAAAGATTTTTTTTCCCACATTTGTATCCTTCCTCTGTGCACTTACTGAGAATTTATATCTCGGCAACAATAGTAGATGAGTAAGAGAAAGGAAAAGAAAAATAATTGACTTCAGCCTCTGGCAGTTTACAACTTAATTTAGGAGTTAAACCAGCAGCAGGTGACATGGCCAGAACACATGTATTGGTATAGTTGCGGCTGAGGGTAGTGGGTGGTGTGTATCATAGGTAAAGTATGCATTATGCCATGTATATGTGTCTGTAAGTGTATAAATAGACATATACAAAGGATAAAGGTATGCAAATACATGTATATAGCAAGAACATTTACATCAACAAATGTACTCATTTACTATTTGTCTGGAATCTTTTTGGGCTCAAGAGGAAAACATTAGAAAGATGTATTCTTTGCCTTTAATTTTTAAAAATTGTTTCTTAACAAAGTAAAAAGTATAAAGGGTCACATATGGAACTGAGGAATTTGACAAATGGGTATACACAAAAACCAATATTCTAGTCCACTTATAGAACTTTTCCATCGCTCCAGAAAACTTCCTTTGCTCTATTTGCAGCTGATCCCCCTCCTCCAGAGGAAGCCACTGTTTTGACTTTCATCCTCATAGATTAATTTTGTCTGTTCTGTAAATGCATAGATTAAAAAATAGTATAGTATATAATCTTTTGTGTCTGGCTTCTAAAACATAATGTTTGAGAGCTTTATCCATGTTGCTCCCTATATTAGTAGTTCATTCTCTTTCATTTCTGAGTAGTATTTCATCCAGTAGGTAAAAGTACAGTTTGTTTATCTATAAAAGCACATATTTGTTTATGTATAGTTGTGGCTGCTTTCTTCTGTCCAGTTTTTGGCTCTTAAGGATTCTTCCATAAATATTTTTGTGATCACCCATTTTTATTTATTTTGGGTAAAATTCTAGGAGTGGAAGGGCTGGGTTTTAAGGTATATTTAACTTTATAAGAAACTGCCAACCAGCTTAAGGAAGAGAGCACTAACATTGTCTGAGTACTTAGTAGGTGACAGACACTACGCTATTTGCTGTTCATTGATCATCTTATCTAATCTGTTAAGGTTGTGAGCCAAATACTATTTATCCATGATTTGCAGAAGTGGAAGTCAAAGTTGTGAGAAGCTAGAAAGTGTACCCCGAGGCACACTCTTTGTAAGTGTTGCTATAAGTATTTAAAGCCAGATCTCCTTGCATATGAGATAAGGCTTGTGCTAGGGAAGAAAAACAGTCTCAGTTCTTACCCCAGAGGCCCTCATGAATTTCAAAAGTTTTCATTAAGACCAATGATACAACTTAAGTTGTTCTTAGTATAATAACTTAATGGGTCAGGAGAAAGTTTTTTTTTAATCTGGAGAAATATTTTCATTTCTTCCAAGTTACTCTTGACTAGTGACATGCGAAAGCCAGAGGAAGCAGATGCTGTAACATTATTATATTCTGCAGCCAGCGGAGGCAGCTTGCCAGTCTCCCCTCTGCTATTTTGCACAGGCCAGCACACACCTCTACTACCCTACAATTAACCTACCTGAATTAGACTTCCAATAACTACTTAAGGAAGCTGGTGGTACCCTTTGGGTATTCTCCATCAGGGGCTACGTAAAGCATACATTTACATGTAAATGGCCTCCTTTTCTTCTTCTTCTCAGCCTGCTAATAAATATTCTGTACTGCTTCAGTGTGCTGTCTTACATATACACTTTGAATAGGAAAACGATGTGATGAAGATGAAAAATTAAAGCCAAACTACACTTTAAAAATAGCCCTTGGAGGCCGGGTGCAGTGCCTCATGCCTGTAATCTCAGCAGTTTGGGAGGCTGAGGCAGTTGGATCACTTGAGGTCAGGAGTTCCAGACCAGCCTGGCTAACATGGTGAAACTCTTGTCTCTACTAAAAATACAAAAATTAGCTGGGTGTGGTGGTGCGTGCCTGTAATTCCAGCTACTAGAAAGGCAGAGGCGGGAGAATCCCTTGAACCTGGGAGGCGGAGGTTGCAGTGAGCTGAGATGGGGCCACTGCACTCCAGCCTGGGCGACAGAGCAAGACTCTGTCTCAATGAATAAACAAACAAACAAACAAACCCCTTGGAGATAGCCACGTATCTTTTTCTTTCCATTTATTCCATTATTCAATGTTATTTCAGTGCTTACCAAGCTGGGCAGGCACTGGAGAAGTATTGCTGATGATCGAGAACATGAGGCCTGCTTTCAGGAAGCTTACTGGATGCCGAGGAAGCCGGTCACCAAATTAATGTTTACACAAATACTTTTTTTTTTTAATTTTTGGAATTTTGAACTGTGGTCCGCACAGGGAAAGATAACCACAGTAGCCTTGAGGGCATTTAATATGGAAGTTTGACACGGCAGGTAACGACTTAAGTTGTCAGAATAATAATACCAATCAATGTTAGTTAGCTATTATTGAGTGCTTACTACACGCCAAGCGCAGCCCTGAACGTCTCACTCTTAAGTGTATTGTCTTCACAGCATTGTGAGGTTGATACTGTTAGTACACCCATTTTGCAGATAAAGTTGTGGAGCCAGGGTTCAAACCCAAGCTGTGTGATTCTGAAATGTGCCAACTTACACACTGAATAACCACACAACTCTTATTGCTGTTTCTTTTGCTTTCCAAAATTTACTTCTTAAAGTATATTTTTCCTATTTTTAAGTTGGCCTAATTTCTACTTTATTAAAGCACTTAATTGGTTCCTTGATCCACGCCCACATTAAAATATTTATTATGTATACAGATTGTTGCTTTATTAGCAGGCAAAGCTGAAAGTTTTTATTTGTGTTCTTTATTTATTGATACATAATAAATGTACATATTTGGCGGGTACATGTGATAGATAAAATAAGCACCAGGATCAAAGTAAGGATCAAATAAGCACCAGGAACCATATGGGAAACATTCTCCCAACACTTCTCTGAATATCTTTAGGCATTCCTTGTAGCATAGGTGAGAAATGTAGGTAAAGCGAAGTTTACTGGCTTGTCCCCAGTCACACAGGTAGGAGTTAGGGCTAGAAGTGGAAGCCAGCTTTGCCAATTTTGCCACAAACACTGGGCTGTCTCTCTGATTTTTTTTTTTTTTTTTTTTTGAGAGGGAGTCTCGCTCTGTCGCCCAGGCTGGAGTGCAGTGGCGTGATCTCGGCTCACTGCAAGCTCCGCCTCCCGGGTTCACGCCATTCTCCTGCCTCAGCCTCCCGAGCAGCTGGGACTACAGGCGCCCGCCACCACACCCGGCTAGTTTTTTGTATTTTTAGTAGAGACGGGGTTTCACCATGTTAGCCCGAATGGTCTCGATCTCCTGACCTCCTGATCTGCCTGCCTCAGCCTCCCAAAGTGCTGGGATTACAGGCGTGAGCCACCGCGCCCCGCCTCTCTGATTTTATTATAAGAAAATGCCTGATCTTGAAATAAGGCTGTGCATAAATTAGGATTTAGTCGCATTTCTACTTCTTGGGTATCCCCCAAAATGCCTAGCATAGTCTCATGCTCATATTATAAAATAAATATATTCTGGTTAAATAAATAAAGTGACCCAAGAAAATCCTTCCAATTTCATTCTTGGTCATCCATTCACCAGCCAGTATTCTGATGATTTTTTTTTTCTGTTATTTTGGTATTGAAAATGAGTTGTCCTGAGTGTCTAAAAGACATATTTAATTTTCTTAGTTAAATGCTTTGCATTGTAAATGTATATAATTATTTTCTTATGCAGTTCATTTTCCTGAAAATTTGGAAGGTGTGAGCTCCAGAGACCTGATATGAGGTCACTGTGCTCATTTAAGTTTTCTTCTTGATACATTCTAAAATCTCTCTTAACTTTTCCTCTGTACTTACATTTCTGTCTCTACCTCTTACTCACGTCTCCCTATGTATTCCTTTTTAAAATTATCTTTGAATCTCCAGGAATTGGAGGGTAACACACTATTATATGGCAGTTCCTATTTCAAATACTTAGAGCCATTGTCCATACAAATACCCTCATGCCTGCCAGACCGCACATCTTGATGTTGGACGCAGAAAATAGGTCTATTGCAGCTCACGCTGACATCTCTCTAGAAGCAGTTGGCTTTCACAGCCAGTCTTCAGGAAGGTTTAAAAAAAATGCAGCTAACCCCGCTGGTGCTTTGGTATACTGCCTTCAGTTCCTCATGCGTCCTGCCTGTTCTTCTACAAAGTGTAATTTCAACTCCACAGCCTTCTCTTAAGTGTTCTCTTTTGCTTGGCCTCACATCAGAACACCATCTAATCTAGCCCAGAGATTTTTCATTAGGTTTCATTACAGGAAGTTACGGCTTTTGTTGCATGGCTGTGCTCAACATAGAGAGTTTTCACTGACACTATTTTGAGAAATTAAGTGATTCGAAGTGCAGCCGTAGCGGCACCCGTTACAATGTCGGATTTTTAAACCAAATAAAACTGAAAAGTCATACTTGGAAATCTGAGCATGCTGAAAGGTTCAAATACACTTTATTAAGATAATAACAGTGATAACAATAGTAATATCAAACAAGAGCAAAAACTGCATATTCTGCGGAAAAAAATCTATTTTTGCATTCATTCCTTCAAAAAATATTTTATTATGTACCTGCTGTGTGCCAGGCCCTGTGCAGGGCACTAATATCAAAGGGAAATAAAAACAAATTGTTTCTGTCCTCCTTTGAAAATTGGATATACCAGTGAAGGAATATTTTATAATATTTGGCTTAATCATATATCAAAAGCTTATACATTCTTCTACATAAAGAAAAGTAAACATTGATGACTGTGGAATGGCACATACATAACTTAAATTTTAGTTACTTGGCTGACCTCAGCTCTCCACTGTGTCTTCCTTAGGACAAGTCTCGGAATATTTTCAAATCCAAAGACCACAGATCCTATTTCAAAGTGTGTGCTGACCAATGTAATATTGTAGTAAAGTTCTCCTAAGTAGAGAAGTGATCTTACACTTCACTCATAAAGCAAAACCACCTCAATATTCGATTTCATGATCTGTCTTCTTCCCTTCATTTCCTCTACTGAGCTGTCTATGCTTTGAACTCTCAGTCATGCTTTCCTTGTCTCTGTGTCTCTCTTACTTTTTATTCCCACCCCTATCCATCCTCCACTCCCCTAGTTTCCCTGCCTTCATGCCTCCTGCATTTCTCCACTTCATCCTTCCTTGCTGGGTTCTACCACAGGGTCAAAGGAATCCCTTTCCTCATGTAAAGCACTGTGCCTTGCTTTCTGCTTCTTTGCTTAGCATCCATGGTCCCATAGTCTCCCCATTCAGCACATAAAGTATCTTTCTTGCACCTCAACATTCTTAGAAGATAGAGAAGGGCTTCTCCTGTAAATACTGTTCTTTTTTCTTCTTTCTTATCATTATTCTTTTTATCATCTCCATTTTTAAAAAATTAAAATAAAATTATATCGTTAAATCTACATAATCCTATGAGTAACTAGTTTTTTAAGTGGCAGCATAATTTTAAAAATCATAGTAAAATTAGCCAGGCATTTTGGTGCATGCCCGTAGTCCCTGCTACTTGGGCGGCTGAAGTGGGAGGATTGCTTGAGCCCAGGACTGTGAGGCTGCAGGCTGCAGCAAGGTCTGATTGCACCACTCCACTCCAATCTGGGTGACAGAGCGAGACCCTCGTTTCTTAAAATCACAGTGAAATGTCATATTAAATTGGAAACGTATGATGCCCATTTCCTCAGATCTAGTTATTATTTACAAGTGAGGCAATCATTTTGGGAATATGATTATAGATCTATGAAACATTTTAACTGAAATTATTTGGTGTTTATAGTTAGGAATGAAAAAAATTTCTCTAAAATGAGCTCCTGATAAACAAGAAGTTAATATTTTTGTTAATAAAATATCAACCAAGCAAGTAAGCATTGAATGCAAAGTATATATTTTTGTGAACTCAATGTTAGAAAGTACCTTTTTTTATTAGTTTTAAAAGTAACTACGGGTTTTTCATTTACTCTAAAGTAACCCTCACAATTTTTGAAATAGTGCAAAAACTATAGCACACTTAGCTTGCTAAGTTAACTTGTACTAAATTGAACACTGTAATCTAATACAACAAAGATATTTTTATTTCCCTAAAGAGACATGCTTTTTGCATTTCCTAAGATGTATTTTGAGATTTAACAAACTTCTGGTGTGGATAGAAACAAGATGGTTTCATTGTACTGTAAAGTATTAAAAAAAAAAAACTGTAAATAACTCTAACCAAGCTGTGTGGGTCTTTTTTTTGTTTTGTTTTTCCCACAGCTGGAATACTAGTTTTTATTACAGCTCAACTGGCATTGCAAATTAAAATTCATCTCTGTTTGTTAAACTGCTACTTAAAATGGCTTCCACCAACTGTTACAGTTGAATATTATGTTGTCATTTATGCATTTAGTGGGAATGGTTCAATAGCATGAATATTTAAAAACAAGTACATGGAAAGTACTTTTTCCCCTATTTGTTTTCAATAGTTTACTAACTGAATTACGTTTTGAGTTGTTGGTCAAACGTGGCTTAATTTTCACCAGTGATTAAGGCAGATGTCGACTGAATTAATTAAATGGTCTTTATAGGTACGTTACAGCTATGATTCCTGCTTATAGCCAAACAACTCTATTTCGTTATTACTTCTCTGTTACATTATCCTAGATTTGCCACTTATAGAGACTAAGGGATTCTGCAGTGACAATTCAACATACCCCATATAGTAAGTGACACATTATTAACAACACACACAAAAAAAACCTTTTTCTTCTATGTGTGTTTTAACATTGATTTTTTATTGAATTCAAAAGCCTGCAGATTATTATTTATTTTATTTTATTTTATTGTTATTATACTTTAAGTTTTAGGGTACATGTACACGATGTACAGGTTTGTTACATGTGTATACATGTGCCATGTTGGTGTGCTGCACCCATTAACTCGTCATTTACATTAGGTATATCTCCTAATGCTATCCCTCCCCACTCCCCCCACCCCACAACAGTCCCCGGAGTATGATGTTCCCCTTCCTGTGTCCATGTGTTCTCATTGTTCAGTTCCCACCTATGAGTGAGAACATGAGGTGTTTGGTTTTTTGTCCTTGCGACAGTTTGCTGAGAACAGTGGTTTCCAGTTTCATCCATGCCCCTACAAAGGACATGAACTCATCATTTTTTATGGCTGCATAGTATTCCATGATGTATATGGGCCACATTTTCTTAATCCAGTCTATTGCTGTTGGATATTTGGGTTGGTTCCAAGTCTTTGCTATTGTGAATAGTGCTGCTATAAACATATGTGTGCATGTGTCTTTATAGCAGCATGATTTATAATCCTTTGGATATATACCCAGTAATGGGATGGCTGGGTCAAATGGTATTTCTAGTTCTAGATCCCTGAAGAATCACCACACTGACATCCACAATGGCTGAACTAGTTTACAGTCCCACCAACAGTGTAAAAGTGTTCCTGTTTCTCCACATCCTCTCCAGCACCTGTTGTTTCCTGACTTTTTAATGATCACCATTCTAACTGGTGTGAGATGGTATCTCATTGTGGTTTTGATTTGCATTTTTCTGATGGCCAGTGATGATGAGCACTTTTTCATGTGTTTTTTGGCTGCATAAATGTCTTCTTTTGAGGCCTGCAGATTATTTTGAATGAATTACATGTTGGCATTTGAATGTTCACTAGGCTAAGGTTGTATGCATCTAGAGCCATCTTTATTTAATGGATTGGTAAAATAAAACAGAGAAAAGCACTCTTAATGTCATAACGTATTGGCATACAAAAGCAGTCTGTTAGTTCTTCCTTTAATACCAATCATCCTAACTACCTCCTTGGGGAAACTTTTAATGATATTCCAGATAGATGTAACCACATCCTCACCTAGGCTACTCTGAATGTCCTGATACATTCTGTTCTTATTCTTACTATGATGGTTTTAAAACTTTTTTGTATGTCTGTCACAGAAGAAAGATTATGGAATGTACCCTATTCTTCATTATACCCAGAATGTCCAGCACAGGTTTTCTTACTCAGTAAGCATCCATCACTATTAAAATATTAAAGTAGGATTTTTATGCCTTCTCTGACCATAAGGAAAAATATAAAAATGCAGCTAAATTCTTCTATCTAAAACTCTCTGTTCTTACCCAACCTCGAAGTCATGTTTTAAGTTTGTTTATTTTATCACATTCTCCACTTAAATAGCTTCTCTTTTCCTAAAATAAGAGAACTCCCTAAATGATCGTTTGTTTAAAAGTAAAAGTAGGCTGGGCACGGTGGCTCACACCTGTAATCCCAGCACTTTGGGAGCCAAGGCAGGCGGATCACCTGAGGTAGGGAGTTCGAGACCAGCCTGACCAACATGCAGAAACCACATCTCTACTAAAAATACAAAATTAGCCTGGCATGGTGGCGCATGCCTGTAATCCCAGCTACTCGGGAGGCTGAGGCAGGAGAATCTCTTGAAACTGGGAGGCGGAGGTTGCTCTGAGTCAAGATCACGCCATTGCACTCCAGGCTGGGCGACAGAGCAAGACTCCGTCTCAAAAAAAAAAAAAAAAAAAAAAGTAAAAGTAACTTTATGTTCATTTTTTTCCTTGTGATTTTCATGCATTAACTTCAAATTAAAAGAAAATTATACCTTGTTATAAGCCCTATATTGAGAAAAAGGACTTAGATTCAAAGACAGAGGGTCACAATTTTGCTTTAGAAAATAAGAATATGGTTACAATTAACCATTATTTTTGCAGGGTCATCAAAATTGTAATTCATCCACTATTTTATAGAACAAAGAAATTCTGTCTCATTATGTAGATTGTTTATTAAAGGATCAGATTCTTCATAAGCACTTAACACTGAGTAGGGTACAATACATGTCTAATTTATAACCTATTCATTTGCAAGTGTTTTATCCTACTATACACCAAAAAAGACGACAAGAAAAGAGGAGAAATCTTTGTGATAGTTTTATAGCCACCAGTAAAAAAATGTTAACCTTTTCTTTCTTTAATATCCCACTAGAACCACATTTTTACCCAGCATGATCTCTTTAGCTATATTAATTATATTGTACAGAGTGAATTCCCAGGAAAATATGCATTCAGCGTCTTTAGTAAAATGCCATGTGACTGACAGCTTGCTGTGTACTTGCCACTTAACCGTAAATAATTCGACGTAGTCTATTTGTCATAATGTTTAACATTAGGGAAATTGAACAAACCAAAAGGTAGAAGACAAACAGAAGTTTACAAGGAAATAGCTGAAATAAAGAATTTTTGATTAATCTGCAACCATGGTATTTGATAGATCCAAGAAGGAAGCTTTAAGGTGATTGCTAAATAATGCTGTGTTAATGAAACTGTTAAGTAGAAAAAGATGAATAGCAGAGATTACATTTTATTTGTAAAGGGTAATATATTTGCCTTTAACTTTAGACAAATGAATTTTGCAGCATTAATGTTTTTTCTGCTAGTAGGTAAATAATTTTCTATCCATCATATTCCATCAAATAATAATAATAATAAAGCAGTGGCAGTATTGCTGCTCACCACCTGGGAAATAGTGTGCTCTAACTGGTTTTTTCTTCTTCTTCTTCTTTTAAAACTAAAAGCAATCTGAAAATTTAGTTGCAACTTTATAACTTCATAAAGTCAGATAATCATGTCATATCTGAAAGTTAAAAATGAAGAACATTCTGTAGTTGGGACAAAAGGAAAATTATTGCCTTATTAAGGAATATAATAACTGTAGTTTCAATCCTAGGTGGAATTTTTATGTGATTATCTTTAGGGTATATTAGATAAGGATCTTCAAGTGTGTCCTTTGAAGTATCCTCTCTAATCTCAGTATGAATTCCTAACAAGATCTTCAAATCATTTTTTTCCTGCTATTGAAGGAAACTGTGTCTACATAGAGAAAGAAGTAGCGACACACACACATATATACACACACACAAATCTTTCTTGAGAAGATAGTCAAGTAGGATGCCAAAATGACATTATTTTAGAAAGAACATGTCACATTGATTGAGTGTGGGATCAGAGGCAATAAGCATTCACCTGATTAGGGGTATAAACAATTTCACCTAAAAATAAAATTGTGGAGAGGGGGGGCAAGTGTTAAAAAATTATCTACCTGCTACAATGTTCGCTATTTGGGTAATAGGTATACTAGAAGCCCAATCCCCACCAGTAAACAATATACCCATGTAACAAACATGCACATGTACCTTCAGAATCTAAAATAAAACACAATTTTAAAAATAAATAAAATAAAAATTATGTCTTATTTTTGTTTCTATTCTTCTGTAGCCTCCACATCCCTTCTGCTATTTTGCCTAACTTTTCCCAAACCACACCATCCCATCCACTCTTTCATTCAGACATACTCAGTGAATCTGTTTACTACAATAGTGCTTTTCCTAATGGATCTTAGAGCAGTGAAGATTTGGTAACTAATAATCAATGCACGTTTATGAAAGAAAGATAGAGGATCTCATGAAAGTTGAGGGCAAAGAGATGTGATCCGGGTGAAATGTGGAAGGAAAGGAGCAGGTCAGAATTATTTTGCCAAAAGAGGTGGGATAAAAACTGATTCTATGCCTTACTTCATACACAATGCATAAAGTACCTTGTACACAATGGTAGACTTATGTGCCTACTGAGCACTTGAAATGTAGCTAGCATGAGTGAGAAACCGGATTTTTAATTTTACGTAAATTTAATTAATTTAAACAGCCATATGCGGACAACACAGTTCTAGAAACACTATAATATTCAACAGCTCACTTACATATGGTACTCCTGTACTTGGAGGTGGGCATACCATCGTGTTTTCCACAAATACAAATTTGTTTCATTAAAAATATAATACAGAAAACTACTAACACAAAAAAAAGGAAATAAGACAAAAATTACTATTTAAGTTCTCCTAAGATTTTTTATCTTACAATTTAAATTGAGAATCTCAATTGCGATCTCGAGAGGGGAGGGGAGGGAGAAGAAAGAGGAGGAAAGGAGGAGGAGGAGAAATAAAAGGAAGATAAAAAGAAAAATCAGGATTATTTATATCCTGATAGTTTCGCAGAACTTTTTTTCCCACTCTTGATAGGAGACTTAGTGGTAAAGACTATTTATCTAATTTGTCTTTTGCTTTCATGTCCAAATTTAACTTAGTCAGAAAGTATAAAGGTTATAGAACTATGATAATGATGAATTTGAAGCATCTCTTCCCAGTAAAAGCTGTGAATATAGATTTTGCTATTACATTGTTCTGATGATGCCACCTTGAACAGGAGGTCTCCCTGCAAATGTTTTGGATTAAAATTACTCTTGTCTAGATGCAAAATGATTTTTAAGGGACATACCTCTTTCCTCTCTGAGATATAGCTTATTATCTAAATTAAGACCTGAATTATGCTTTTGTAAAAACAGTAACTGAGTTTTTCTACAAATTATTTTTTAAAATAGAATAAGAAAACTAATTCTTACTTAGCACAACAAAGGATAAATATAAAAGTTCAGTAATGCTGTAATGCATATTAAGTTGGGTGTAACACTATGATCTTCTCTTTCAATTATGCTGATCAGCAAATTCCATAGGTCCAGGAACTATTATTTAAAAAATTTGTTAAGTGAGTGGCCTTAGGGGAAAAAGTAGGTTGTTTTGTGTTCAGATGGGGAGGGGACATTAATAAAGCCTCATTATTCTCCTGCCTGGAAGGACTCATAATATTAAGTAGCTTATATATTAACATATTAATTATCCAAGTACAGTAACTATTAATAATTATCACTTATTTAGTTATTTCTTCATTAATAAATTTATTCAGTTCTGTGCTAGCTACAGAGTATACAGGCCTCATATGACTTTATCTCTCCTGATAAAGCTCAGGGTTTATCATAAAAGAAATAAATCTCCATGTAAAGAGTAAAATAGCCCCAGGCATGGGCTCATTTAGAGGCACAGAGGATGGGCTCTTGCAACAGACCAAGCAGCAGGGAATTGAAACCTGAACTGAGCTCAGAAATTTTCTGGGAGGGTGGAGGGAAAAGAGAAGGGAGCTTTCTAAGCATAATAAACAAGTCATGCAAAAGAGAAGAGGAAAAAGATACTGCATTTGATTTAATCCTTGTAAGCAGTTCATTATGGCTAGAGTACAGCATATGAGGAAAATAAGAGAAAGAAATGAAGTTGATGATGTAACTGGTACCAGAAAATGAAATCCCTTGCAAGTAACACTAAAGGGCTTGGTGTTTATCCTCAAAATACTGTATAGTGGACATCCTTGGTTTTGCTAGCCCAGTAACGTTTCCTATAGGAAACTCTTTGTCATCTGTTCCACGGAACATTGGTAACACCATCAATCACGAGCCATGAGCATTTCAGACATTCACATTTGCAATACATCTGGAACCTGCTGGTAAAAGCCTCTAATATTTTAATGAGTTTGATTCATAAGCTTGATTTAAATATTCAGCTACTACTAAGATATTTAGTAACTCTGGGAATATAACCCTCATGCTTGCAAACAAAGGGTATGCAGATGGAAATAATGGAACACGACATGGCAATGCTATAAGAGATACAAAGAAAACTCTTCTCAGAGTGGGATAGGATGCAGCAATAGTTTTGCTTGAGAGAGGTTTACTGCCTCACTGAGGAGGTGGCACTTAGCTGGATCTTGATGGGAGGGATGCTATCAATCATCTGTCACTTTTCATTAGAGACTGTAAGGCATTCCAAAGAAGAAACACACACAAAAACATCTAGGCATGAAAGAGATCACTGTTTAGGGATGCTATCTTATACGAAATGTGGAGCCCACCCAAATGTTTATAACAAGGGAATAACACGTAAATTTGTGTTTTGCAAAGGTAGCTCCTGTGTAAGTATGGGAATCAACTGTAGTAAAGAGAAACTGTTGATAGGGATATGTTTCTTAGTATAAACGTGAAGTATAATGAGGAAGTCACCTACTGGTTCTTTAACCTTTCTGCCTTCTTCATTTCATAAAGATAACTTGGGCTATTATTTTTGGGCTAATATTTAACAACACAGATATACAGACCTCATTCAGAAATCCTAGTATGTTTAATACCACAGATCAATTCTCAGTAGACTAAAACAGTGGCAGATTTAATGATGAAGAGGCCGAATTAGTGACATTTTTAAGTTTGTTGAATTGAAGATCCATTCAGTTTTTTTCCAATATTTTAATCACTCACTATGTATTAAACATTTTCCTAAATGCTGGGGACACAAATGTAATAAGTGATTACCTTTTTCTCCAATAGTTTTGTGGTCTAAATGTCATTTTTCTCACGATCTGGTGTATAAACAACCTGAGACTCTTGATAAAATTACACATTCCTGGGCCCCAACACTGGCCAAATAAATCAAAATCTTGGCAGAGAGAGGAAGGATTGGAATCTGTAGGTACCTAGTAGGTCTAACACATGCTAAGCTGAAGAATGATTAGTCTACCATGATGACAGACAGGCTTAGGGGTGAATATACGAAGGTGCCAATGTTGTCACAAGTAGGGCTTAAAAAAATAGGTAGATGGTGAGTCTATGAACTGAAATTGAGATTACAGGAGACAGCTTCATCATTGTGAAAAGCTAACATGTTATGAAGCATTCTCAAGTAGATAAATGAAGAGGGATCTTAGAAATAGATATTTGTCACTTTAGAAAGTGAAAATAAATGTTTGGGTGTCATCAACACAGAGATTATCATTGAGACCATGAAGATTGGTAATATTACCTAGGAAGAATGTTCCTGAGTACAGTAAAATTAAAAAATAATAATAATACATTTTTTAAAGAAACTAAGAAAAACATAGACTTCAAAAACAAGCAGAAACCATAAAGTAGTCAGAAGAAAGTAGAAGAAGTAAATAAGGAATTTTCAAAATTATGTAACTCAACATTTGATGAGTTAGTTTGTCCTCAGCCCTGGTCAGATTAAGAGGCTCCAGTGAGGGCACAAGGATGCAATTCTCTACCATCTATTCCATCCTTTTTGTTGGCTTTGTTACTTATCATGTTCTCTTCTGCAGGCCCCATGAGGCCTTCACCACTTCCAGATCTCATATTCCTCAGGTCTTTAGCCCTCCTGGAGAGAGGAGCCACTCCCTCCCAGTGATTAAAAGAAGCTCTGGCCCTATCTGTTGTGGGTCAATTGTATTAATACCTGCACATCAAAAAATCACTAGGACTAGGGAAGTAAAATATGCTGGTTGGCTTAAGTCCCTCAGAGCTCACAACAGGGCAGAGGATGGGGTTAATCTCCCCATGGCCACCACCATGACTGCCAAATCCTATGACCTGAGATTCAGAAAGAGGAGAGACTTCAAAGAAAATGTGTAATAGCCTTAGGAAGTAGGAATGGAAGTTAAGCAACCAAATATAACAAAAATGTCAACTTCATTGGGTATTAAAGTCATGCTCACAACTCACTATTTAAGAAATATAACTTCCTCATCTTTTTGAAGATCATGATATCACTTTTCTGTCTTCAGTCTTCCTATTGCTCTCCCACTCCCTATTATTCTTCAAAGATCAGTGGTTTGGCAATGTAATTTCCTACTTATTTCAGTACCCTGGGAAGTCACAAATCCTGACTGGGGTCCTTGAACTCATTTAAGACCTCTATTTTGGTGTCATTATAACGTATACACACATCTGACTCTGAGATGCATTAAATATAACTACTCATTTCCATAATCATTCAAAGTTTTGCATTGTGCTAAATAAGACTTGGGGATTTTTTTTTAACTTCCCTCTATGCTTTGTCCGTGGAAGAATGGTGCTTAAAGGGCAGCCTTAGATAATTCGCATAGCTAAAGGTCATGAAGTCGGAAAAGGAAGAATGATAGAGCTGCTCATAAAAGTAGGCAAGTGATATTAAGTAGAGGCTATTTGAATTTAAAGAAATTGAATAATGAATAGAAAGAAAGAGAAAATTTGATAGAAAATGCATATATACATACCTTCGATGTTGGAATATTGTGGAGTTATTAAAAAATAAAGTTCATTAAAAAGAAAAAGTATATATATTTATACTTATGGAAAAACATTGGATAGCAATGTACTAAAAGTGTAATAAAATTATATGTTATATATATTTTCTTTATTTTTCAAATTTTCTCTAAGCATATATTTTCTCAAGATTAAATCAAAAGAAGATAAATATCTACTTGATTTTTATTCTCTTCCACTCTTTCTAAAAAATAAATTTTATTGCTTAACCTCAGATTTTCCTTTTAAACAAAAACGCACGAAATCTTACAGCCATATCTCTAGGTTTTCTGTACATAGAATCACAGAATGCACAGTGCTGACTCCTTTGTTTTCCAATAACCCAGGAACTTTACCTATCCAGAAAATGTCTGTGAAGCTAGGGAGAAGTTACAACATAAAGCCATTGTGAAGTATGAGGAATGCTGTTATACAGAAGCAGTACATTTCAAAAATATTATTGACTTTGGAAAACATGATTAAATAAATATTATGTGTTATTTTTCCCTACAATAGTTATTGAGAAACTTTATGCCTTGTTTTCAGTGATTACTAACTCCACCAACAAAAAGACAATAACTGAAAAATCACATACAAGCCAATTCTAAACGAAAAGAAGCAGCATTTTCATTTAATTACATGATATACCTGATCTGGGCATCAGCTGAATTAACCTCCACATTGATACCCTTGCCTCTCCTTGCCCAGTCTCTTCTCTTCTGAAGTTCAACACATTCACCACTCTTCTGCCAGACCAATGTTTCTCAATAATTGTTTTTTCACTATCAACTTCCTAAGAATAGCTTTTAGACATTTTTCTCTAATTGTCTCTCATGAAATTTTAATACTGCAGGCATTTTATGTATCTATTTACTTACTGTTTACATATCTATGCTTTATGCATAGCAAGATTAAGATTTTTCCTTTCCCAATAACCAATTTTCACACCCTTGGAGGTGACATCATCCATGCTGAGAATGCACGACATTACCTACACTGAGAAAATTGGCTGTTTCTCAAAGGATGGGCTACTGATGTTTGGGGACATGTAATTGTTCACTCTGCAGGACCAATCCACAAATTTCAGGACCCTTAGCTTCCTTGAATCCTACCAAGTAATTAGTAGTATTTCTAGTCATTTTGATAACAAAACAAACACTTCCTAAGAAAAGAGACAAAGTTTCCTTACAGAAGAATTCCAAATAGTAGGTGTCGATACTCCTTATTTAGGAGGAGAAGCTTTATCCCTCCCCACCCAATGGTGGGCTGGATGTATGACGGACTTCCAATTAAGAGTAGGGAAATTAAAAAAATAGTAATGTTTCCACAGAGGGACCTACAAACGCCATCTTAAACATGTGATGAAGTTTAACATCCCCAATGGTGTCATGAAAACATAATGGAGCCCTAGATAGGATGTGACAAGAAGGGCACTTTGCATCTGTGATATTCTTTCAAAAAAGCCATAAACTTGGTCTAACTATGAGAGAAATCTTAGAAAAACCCAAATTGAGGAACAATCTATAAAATTTCTGATCAGCACTCCCCAAACTGTCAAGGTCACAAATAACGAAAAAACTGAGTAACCTCACAGACGAGAGGGCACTAAAGAGACATGGCCATTTAATGCAAGTGACATCCTAATTTGATCCTGGAAACAAAAAGGTGACATTAGTGGAAAAACTGGTGGCATTCAATTAATGTCTGGAATTTAGTAATGAACCAATAATGTTAGTTTTGAAAAATGTGCTATAGTAATGTAGGATGTTTAACAATAGGGAAATTGAGTGAGTAATATATGGAACTGTCTCTACTAGCATTATAGTTTAGGGGTTTTTTTTGAGATCTGAAATTATTCCAAAATAAAAAAGTTTATGTATAAAATGCCTTCCAAACACATACACACACATGCAAACACACACACTTCCAAACTCTGAACAACAGTGCTCTGGGTTGAGAAGCCTGTTAGGCTAACCTTTTTAAAATGCACATCCAATCATGTCACTGCCCTGCCAAAATTCTTAAATGGCCATCTCCCCAGAACATTGATCACTGAAGACCTTCATTACATGGCTTTTGGTGACCTTTCCAAACTCATCTTCCTCCACTGCACCTCAGATGCCCTTCACTAGCCCCAGCCCCTTGCATTTCTCCAGTTGCATCTGTTGTTTCATGCTTCCATACCTTCACATTACCTACTATCATGATAGGAGACATCATTTAGAAATGGATTACAATGAAGATTTGTCTGAGTTTAAGAAAGATTAAATGGGCCAAGGAGAATGGCTGTTTGTGTTCACTTTAGTTATTTCCTGCTACCTGCAATAGTCATCCTGTCTGACAGAATCTTTTGATCAAAGATCCAGTCACGTAGATTATTGCTTGCTTGAAAAATGGCCTGTGGTGCCCTAGGAATAAACTAGAGATGAAGCAGTCCATAGTACATGCAGTATCAGGCTTCCCAATTCTATCTCTCAGCTATGTTCATAGCAAAACTTTGACAGATGGCTCTCAGAAGTAATACATTTATTTTAAGCATTTGATTGTTGTGATAATGATAGGATAATAATGATGAACATGGGTTTAATCTCTGAGTAGATTGGAGCTAAAACATAACTTGTGTGAGAAATAATAGGAGGGTTTTGTTTTGTTTAAGGGCATTATTTAGTAAAATATATAGGTTTATTATCTTTGCATCCTCTTCGATCCAAAAAGAATTTAAATCTTCATGGATTCAATGAAAGATTCACAATGAAAGAGTACCAAAACAGGATTGATCGCCTGGCTATCATTTTTTGAAGTAGAATTTCAACACAAGTCCTATGGCTTTAATAAATAATGCTCTTGCACTGTCACTCTTTGATTTTCCCAAAATAATTCCATTTAAATAAATATCTAGTTAAATAAAAGTTAATATTCATAGGACAAGGGATTGTTTGTTGTTTGCAAGTAGTAAAGTATATTTCAATGAAATATTAAAGCCTAACTTTTGAAACACTTGTATACATTTCCTTCTCAGACTGTCAAATGTGTAAAATTATTGAGTATCCATGTCTAGCTATGGAGAAGTCCTTTTTCCAAGATGCTAAAAAACGAAAAGCAAAGAAGGTGATGCAGGTGAGTGTGTGCTGACTCTACATGAAGATGAGGCATCATTAAATGACGAGTTTGGCTTCAGGGCCATGAGAGTTTAGTTATTTCAACCAATATTAAGATTGTTGATAACTGTTTTTCCTGGATGATTCGTGTCAGAAGCAGAAAAGAACAGCAAAAGAACAAGATTCAGATTTCTAAGGAAAATGTAGAATTGCTACCTCCTAGTATCAGTAGACTCATATTTCACATCAGAGGTAGGAATTTACTCTGCCCAGGTAGTGTCACCAAAAACTAAGAACCCCATTAGAAACCGACTAGAAAGGCCATGTGTAATATATTGCAACTGCTATTTCTCTATGTATCCAGCTTGTGTCTATTAAGATTCTATATTCTTAACTTAATTAGCCAGGAACTTCTAGCTCTGCCAGTCTGTAGCCATAATACCACTGTACCAGAAAACAACAGAAAAAAAGAAAAGAGAAAATTAGTGGCAGCAATCCTTCATTAGAAATTGCTTTAACTAGAAAAATGAAAATAAAAGTTGTAATAGACAGAGTTCCTCTTTTAACATTGGCAGAGTAGCATGTATTAGATTAATCAGCTGATAATTAATATAAAATCTTGACCCTCTGTTTAAAAACACAGTAATTATACAAATGCACTGGAAAAAAGAAAAAGTAGTCAGAAACTGGAGGAAAAAAGACAACTGCCCTTAGTAAATTTCATGTTTCTATGGCCTGAATATACTTTCCAGTCTACCCAGGACTGTGTAGTTAGAACTCAAGCGGAAATCTGTAGTCTTCTTTTCTTTTCTTTTCTTTTTTTTTTTTTTTAAAGACAGTTTAGCTCTTGTCCCCCAGGCTGAGGCTGGAGTGCAATGGTATGATCTCAGCTCACTGCAACCTCTGCCTCCCCAGTTCAAGCAATTCTCCTACCTCAGCCTCCTGAGTAGCTGGGATTACAGGCACACCATGCCTGGTTAATTTTTGTATTTTTAGTAGAGACGGGGTTTTGCCATGTCAGCCAGGCTGGTCTTGAACTCCTGACCTCAATGGATCCACCCGTCTCGGCCTCCTAAAGTGCTAGGTTTACAGGCGTAAGCCACTGCACCTGGCCTATCTGTAGTCTTCTTGTCTTGAGAAGTGAAAGTATGAAATTTGAAGCTGCCAGAGTGTATGGAGTATGAGAGGAAAATCATAGAATGGAGGGGACTACAGAGGAGGATCTTCAGCTTTTACTTAAAAGCTCTATGCAAATCCCTGGCAAAGTGCTGAAACTAGGCGTAGTAAGCACAGAAGATGCTTTTTTTTTTTTTTTTTTTTTTGGCAAAAGAAGCACCTGGGAGACTTAGGGCAAAGACGGGGTGGAGCCTCAGATATTTCACTGCTGCCCACCTCAGACAGGGAACTGTTTGGATTTGGAGTCCAGCCTTGTTAAATAATTTCTAGAAGGAGTCACGTGGTTTGCCCACCTCAGCCTCCCAAAGTGCTGGGATTACATGTATGAGCCACCACCCCTGACCCCAGGATGCTAATTTTAAAAAGCACAAAACTCAAGCAGGGTGTAGCGGCATGCACCTTCAGTCACAGATACTCAGGAGGCTCAGGCAGGAGGATCCCCTGGAGTCCAGGAGTTTGAGTCAAGCATGGACAATATAGTGAGACCCCATCTCTAAATAAAAAAACAAAAAATTAATCAAGCTCCACATGCAATGAATACAAAAAGAATCATGTGTGGATACACCGAAGAGTTGAAAATCAAAGATAAAGGGAAGATCTTGAAAGCCATGACAGAAGTAAAATCACATTACGTACATGCAAATAAAGATATGAAATATGACTGACTTCTCATCAGAAATTATACAGAAGCTATAGGCCGGGTGCGGTGGCTCCCGTCTGTAATCCCAGCACTTTGGGAGGCCGAGGCAGGTGGATCACAAGGTCAAGAGATCGAGACCATCATGGCCAACATGGTGAAACCCTCTCTCTACTAAAAATACAAAAATTAGCTGGGCGCAGTGGCACGCACCTGTAGTCCCAGCTACTCAGGAGGCTGAGGCAGGAGAATTGCTTGAACCCAGGAGTTTGCAGTGAGCCAAGATCGCGCCACTGCACTCCAGCCTAGCAATAGAGCAAGACTCCATCTCAAAAAAAAAAAAAAAAAAAAAGAAGAGAGAATATATAGGAGCTATAATATAATGGAACAACATCTTCACAGTGTTGAAAGGGGGAAAACACTTGTCAAGACAAAATCTAGATCTTGAAAATACACTGTCCAAAAATAAAAGAAAGTTACAGCCATTTTACTATAAGTAGAGAATTCATCACCAACAGCCTTGCACTACAAGAAACACTAAAGAACAATTTTCTGGCTGAAGGGAAATGACACCACTAGAAACTTGGATGTAATGAAAAAAATATGTAAAGAATACCAGGAAAGGTAAATAAGTGTGTAAATGTAAAAGATAATATGTGCTACCTTTTCTTAATTACTATATGAGATATCTGCCTGCTAATTACTATGAGAAATATAAACCCCACCATAGTATGAGGTTTATAAAAAGGTTAGAATACTGTATATGAATATCACAGCACAAAGCATGGGAACAAATAGAACTAGACGGTTACAATGTCGTTTGCATTTAATATGACAGCACGTTAACTCTGAGTGGACTATATTAGTTAAGGACAAATATTTTAAGCAAACACTTAAACGATTATGCAAAGCTATGCACCTTTGAAGCCATGCAACAATCAACTCAAATAATAAAAATGAAATTAAAACTATTAATATCAAAATTATGATTTATAATAAGTGGTAACTATGCACCAGATACTGCGCTAAATTCTTAGGTATCCTTATTAAAATAAAAAGCAAGGAAATGAAATAGTGACTAAATAGAAGGAAGAACATGAGAGAGAAGGCATGCTTGCTTTCTTTCTGAAACAGTCATTCAGGACATGATGAAAAGTCCACCAACACGTATCTAATCTACAGATTCCTATGGCAGTAAATAAGTTCAACAAGAGAAAACAAACTGCCATCACTTATGCCATGAGAAGGAAATTGATTAGTTGAAGAATATAACTTTTTTTCTGCCAATATTTCAGATTTTAGAAGAAAAAAACTACCAGTTGGGGAAGCAAAAAAAGTCAATCAATGTGATTTAGATTTCTGGAAATAACCTCAGATCCTTTTTTTTTTTTTTTTTTTTTTTTGAGACGGAGTCTCGCTCTGTCGCCCAGGCTGGAGGGCAGTGGCGCCATCTCAGCTCACTGCAAGCGCCGCCTCCTGGGTTCACGCCATTCTCCTGCCTCAACCTCCCGAGTAGCTGGGACTACAGGCGCCCGCCGCCACGCCCGGCTAATTTTTTATATTTTTAGTAGAGACGGGGTTTCACTGTGTTAGCCAGGATGGTCTTGATCTCCTGACCTCGTGATCCACCCGCCTCGGCCTCCCAAAGTGCTGGGATTACAGGCGTGAGCCACCGCGCCCGGCCCAGATTCTTGACAAAAACACTTTTGGGAAAGAATATGGCAAATCTTTTTCCAGAATGGAAAGAATGTGTTTGAGCCCAGTCTTACTGATAGGAGGTTTATAAAGTAAATACAAAGCTACATACCACAGAATTACAAGAATGACTTGAATAAAAATATAGAGCTGAATATAGGTGATTATTTGTATATTAAAAACATCAGAAAACAATTGAGAAGGCAGGTGATACAGTTTGACTCTTTGTTCCCATGCAAATCTCACCTTGAATTGTAATCTCCATAATCCCCAGGTGTCAAGGATGGGACCAGGTGGAGTTAATTGGCTCATGGGAGTGATTTTCCTCGGCTGTTCTTGTGATAGTGAATGAGTTCTCACAAGATCTGATGGTTTTATAAAACTATCTGGCATTTCCTCTGTTTGCACTCCCTCCACCCTGCCCCCCTGTGAAGAAGGTGGCTGCTTCTCCTTTGCTTTCCATCATGATTGTAAGTTTCCTGAGGCCTCCCCAGCTGTGGAGAACTGTGAGTCAATTAAACCTCCTTCCTTTATAAATTACCCAGTCTCAGGTTATTTCTTCGTAACAGTGTGAGAATGGACTAATACAATGAGCAAAAATAAGTCATAACCTGAGATAACACTACATCAATATAGAATTTTGAATAAAGCAAACCAGATATTTTAATATAGGCTGGTAATTAAACACAATATATCTCTCCCTCCCCTACCTTATTTCCGTCCTTCTGTAAAATATTAGGTGTGACTTTAAAGAAGTGCCTTCTTCTGTTTCATGTATAAAATTGTTTTCAAGATTTGACGAAAAATCATGTCTTAGCATAATGCATGGAACATCATATTTACTAAATAGAAGGTAGTTGTTACTAATGTTATTTCATCATCAGCAGCAACAGCAATGAATCTGAAAACATGAGAACATAACCAATTAGCCAATTGTAGATGCAATAATGTCTTTATTCATTAGCAACATTTATTAAGTTCTTACTACAAATCAAGCCGCCCATCTGTCTGAAAAATATTGTGGGGGCAAGTATGATTGGGGCAAAGAAGACAGTTATTCTTGACTAAATAAAGATAGCAAAGACCCAGATAGAAAGGATCTTTTCAGGAGAGAAGCTGAAGTCTCATCAATTCTTGAAGAAGTAAGTGTTAAGCATTATACATGTAGCATTTAGACTATTATTTTCACATATGGCCAGATTTAGGAGTTGTCATTCTCAGTTAGGCAGCAGACTACCCTTCTCTCTGCAAACTCTGCTGTCTGCCTAAACTTGATTCTTCATCCAACAGACACATAGGAATTACTCAAAAATGTTATTTGAACATCCAAACTATTTGTAGAATAAAATGAATCTGAGAAGTACAGGAGTAATAATTACTGGGCTTCTACTAAGGTCCAGGAATTTGTAAAATGATTGGTGTTAAAAATATTATGTGATTATTGCAACACTTAGAGGTAGAAATGAGAACCTGCAATTTTTAGATAAGGAAATCAGAAATCAGAGAGGTTCTGAAACTTGCCCAAGGACACACAGCCAGTAAGTAAAGGAGTGAGAGGGGAACCCCAGTCTGCTGGACGCACACTCTGATTTTCACTCTAGCACCACTGCCTCCCTAATCCACAAGCGAAGCCATGATTTTCATCCACTGTACAGAATTATTGAGTCATGTAGGTGGTATTTAAGCCATTATAGCAAAGTTTGTTTGAGGTATCATGATTAGCAACAGTGATCAGCTAATCAAACTACTAATGATAACCTCATTGGTACAATGTTTTATTGCTTACAAAGCACTTTCTGGTAATTGTATAATTTCATTCTTAAAGTGACAATGCATGGCAGAGATTTCCCTCCTTACTTTTACAGGTGAAGAAAATTGAGACTAAAAGAAATTGATCGACTTGGCCCCAAGCCATTAAAACTCTAAAGAGGAAAAGTTGGGAAATGAATTAATTCTGGCTCAATATCATATGTTCTCCAAATACAATGTATGCCACTTTCCAACAGGGCAAGATGATCAAGAGCAGAGTTCTCAGGAGTCCTTCCGCTTTTCAGCAATAACATGTGGTACATTCCTCAGTGGGTAATTACCCTTTCATCTCCAGTCTTAGATCTTAGTTATGATTCTGGTCTCCTCTCCATGGAAAACATTTTTGAAAGGCCACTGAAGTGCCCTGGGAATACAGATTCTGGTCTGACTTCTTTCATGCCACATACAACCTGGGAACGTTTTTGTGATCTCAAAGAAAACACCAAAAGCATTTTCTGTCATCAATTCTCATCCATATTTCTTATACTATGCCATAAAGAAAACATTTTTAAATAAAAAGGTTATGCATTTTAGTTTATTGAGAAATTGTACTCCATATAGTATTCTCCATACTTTACAGTAGATTACTTCTGCCCATTAATCTAACACATATAAAACATGAAAAAATTAAGTGTCTTATTTCCTAGTTTGATTTCCAAGACTTGTTTCAAATAATTGATATAATATTAGAATAATAGTCAGGAAATACTAGGAGAGTCTGTGAGAGAATAAAACCATATAATAAGGGGAATCTGTGAAGCACAGTTTTATATCTTCTTCCTTCTCTTCCTTACTTTTCAAAACAAAGTTTCCAATTGGTAGACTTGAATTTTAGTAGCAGATAAGTCCTAGTTGAACAAAATAAGACTTATCAGCCTTGTTTCTAAAGCACACATGCACACACACACACACACACACACACACGAAAACTATAACATATATTCTAAAATTTAATTGTAGAGTTTTCTTTCATTTTATTTAGAATAGATATGTTCTATTGCATTTTTGTAATCCAAAGACCATTCCCAAATAGATATGGCCTAGAACTTTGCTCTCTCTGAGGATAACAAATGTCAGAATAGTAGTTGAAATAGAGTGGTTTCAGATTTGGGCTTACACTCCAGTCAATCTAACAAATTGGAGGAATATGAACAAAGTATATAAATGTCCTGAATCCTCAGTTGTTTAACTAAAAGTATAGAAAATCCAACTTTCATTGTATCATTTTTGTGAAGACTGGATGTTACAAACAGTAGATGCTGTTATTTATTAGACTCTGTAATTATTCAGTACATTCTCTCATATGAAGTGAAGAGTACCTTTTTGCAGCATATGTAACAAAAGATTAGTACTAAAATACACAAAGAATTTCTAAAGATATATAAAAAACAGCTGATCTTTTAAATGTGCAAATACATGAATACGAATTTAACAGAACATGTCTGCACATATATGGCTTCATTGGTAATCAAAGACATGTAAATTAAAATCATGATGGATTTTTGTTTAGAGTTGGTTGATTCAACACAGCATGAAGTTCTTCCTCAAAAATTTTTATAATGTAAGTAGAGAAGACAACACCAAAAGGCACAATCACAAGGACAAAGAGAAAAGAAAAGAAAGAATTGGTTTACTACTAATGGAGGGAGGAGTTAAGTGAAAGATTGCATTTTGAACATTAAGACTCTCTCCAACCTTTCCCCAGTATCTCTCAGGATACATGCAAAAAGTCTTCATCAAGTTGAACATTGGAAGTGTCTGCTCAGGAACAAAGTATATAAATGTCCTGAATCCTCAGTCATTTATCTAAAAGTATAGAAAAATCTAACTTTCCTTGTACCATTTTTGTGAAGACTGGATGTAACAAACAGTAGATACCCAGTCTAGGTTAAAAAAAAATAAATAAAACTAGTAATGTCAGAGGTTTCCTGGTGAAATGGATCAGCTAGATCACTCTACCGTCTGGCTCACATTATAAGAAGTCTCTTTTCATCAGGTTTTTATGGCTCTACTGTTAAAGTGAGAAAAAGTCAGCAATTACCAGATAATTGTAAAAATTAACATGAGTAACGTAAGCTAGAATAAGTAAAATATAAAAACAGGGACAGCCGGGCTTGGTGGCTCACGCCTGTAATCCCAGCACTTTGGGAGGCCGAGGTGGGCGGATCACCTGAGGTCAGGAGTTTGAAACCAGCCTGGCCAACATGATGAAACCCCATCTCTACTAAAAATACAAAATTAGCTGGGCATAGTGGCGTACCTGTAATCCCAGCTACTTGGGAGGCTGAGGCAGGAGAATCACTTGAACCCAGGAGGCAGAGGTTGCACGGAGCCAAAATGTGCCATTGCACTCCAGCCTGGGCAAAAAGAGCAAAACTCTGTCTCAAAACAAAACAAGCCAACCAAACAAAGAAACAAAAAACAGGGAGGATATAGGACAAAATGACAGAAGGAACTCGGAGGAAACAAGCTAAGAAAGGGGAAGAGAAAACATAAAAACGACCATTATTAATGTCTTCAGAGAGACAGGGAGAGAGTCACATCTAGTCAACTGGCTAATAGTATAGAATACCTGGCAATATCAAGTGTACAGGTTGAGAATTTAGAGAAAGAACAACTTCTTCACACTGTTTAGTGTGAACCTCACCGAAATTCAAAACTCACAGCATTGTGGTTCTCTCTGTAGCGGAGGGGCATCAAAGGAACTCACAATGTTCAGTTTCTGAGCCATAATGAATTGCAGAGTCTCTTTACAACTCTACTAGTTGACCAACAGAATGGCAATATTGGCAGAGAGAGTAGATAAATACAGGACATTGTTAATGTTATGTGAGAGCTAGAGAGATACACATGTGCACACACACACATTCTCTAGCATCTATAAATGCAGTAAAAATTTAAAAATGAAGTGAAAGCGGAAGACATTCACTGGTATGCTAGCCACATTTTCCTTCAAACTAAGCCACATATTCCTTTATGCTAAGAGAAGTGAAGGCTTGGAGCTTCAAAAAATCTGGAATCAAATTCTGGTTCTGCCACTTGACAGCTGGGTGAAGCTTGACAAACCAACTTCTTTAAGCCTTAGTGTCTTTATCAGTGAACGAAATGAAATGAAATACTCAAATACATTCTGTGAGGGTATTTAACATGATGCACATACCAAGTTTGTAGCAAGGTTCTTAACCCAAAGTAGAAATTAAGTAAATATCCATTATTATTACTGTAGTAAAATACATGGAGTTTTCTTTCCACAGTGATGGTTCAGTCATTCTTATCAAATATTTTTTCTTCTTTATATTACTTTAATTAAAAATGTAATTATTTTGTTAATTAAAATTAAACTTTGTCAATGCCCCTTTGTTAATTAAATAACCTCTTCAGTTATCTATCTGTATCTGTTGATTCATTGAGTCATATTTATGTATATCTCATATACAGATATGTGTGAGACATGTATACATATACATTTACATATATATAAATTTCAATTGTTAGTTATATTTATTTGCCTGGACCCCATCTTACTGGGGAAGTTAAGCCTTTATTTCCCAGATGGGAAAACAGGCAAACACCTCCCAGCTCTTATATAGAGTTTTAGCTCTGTAAGTGTTTATTCTAATCCTACATGTTAATATCATACACTCAGTTTAAAGGTTTTTTGTTATTTATCTATCTAATATTTGCTAAATGTCCCTTTATAAGGGATTTTTTTTTATTAGATGGGGTCTTGCTTGTTGCCCAGACTGGTCTGAACTCCTGGTCTCAAGCAATCCTCCTGTCTTAGCCTGTCAAGTAGCTGGGATTACAGGCATGTGCCTCCACTCTTGGCCCTATTTCAGGAATGTTCCAGATGTTCTATGTATGACTTGAAGACCTAATAATCAATTGTGTAGGAAGAAAGAATATCAAAGAGAGGAGGAAGGGGAAATGAAGTATACAAGAGCTCCAAGGACCAAAATATGTACGCTGTACCAGACTGAAATATGTCCTACAAATATTAGCTTCTACTAAAACTTGCTAGGGATAATGTGCTTGCATTTTATATTCTCTAACTTACCCAGATTACACTTTGATAAATCAGAATGGTCTGTAGTTACAGTTATATGATTACTGGTAAGTGCTGTGTCTTTCTTTCTTCATTCAGCAGCCAGAAACCTGTAGCTGGTGGCAGTCATAAACCACAAAACTGAATGGAAAGGCATTTAGGCTGTAATTCAATTCACACTTAGTGATTGCTGGAACAGTTAGCCCTGGTGACAACCACTTTATCAAAAAAATCAAATTTGGATTCATTTTTTCTCATCCTAGAAGTGATAGAAAAGCTCATATCTGAACTTGAGCAAGAGATCACCAAAGCCTCCCTTTAAGCATTAGCTGTGAAGAGGTATTATGTATATGTGTGTGTTGGTTTAATTCTGTTTGTTTTCATTTTTTGAACAGAAGTCTTTTGAGGTACTGAGTTATTTTGAATCTTTGCTGATGAGAACCGTGTATTCACCTAGACAGCATTAACTTCTCTCAGGAAAGATGTTCTGGCTCCTGCTGAAATTATAATATAAATAATGATAACGAACATTTATTGAACCCTTACATTGTGCCAAGAAAAGTGTGAAAGCCTTACCTTGATTAGTACATCTAATACTTAGCAACCCCATAAGGAAAGTATTAAACTCTTTATCTTATATATAAGAAAAGTGAGAACTTGAGAGAAGAAAAGTAATTATTTGCTCAATTCAGTGAAGCCAGTATGATGGAGTGCACCATGAGTTAATCAAAATCCATTTTCTCCTTTTAGTGCATGTTAAGCTACATTTTCAAACTTTCCTCACAGTTAGGTGTAGCAACACAATTAACTTCTGGCCAACAGATGTGAGAAGAAATAGTGTGAGTCCTTCCAGATTAACATGTTTAAGAAGTAGATGGGCTGGGCGCGGTGGCTCACGCCTGTAATCCCAGCATTTTGGGAGGCCAAGGCGGGTGGATCACGAGGTCAAGAGATTGAGACCATCCTGGCCAACATGTGAAACCCTGTCTCTACTAAAAATACAAAAATTAGCTGGGCATGATGGCGGACAGCTGCAGTCCCAGCTACTCGGGAGGCTGAGGCAGGAGAATCACTTGAACCTGGGAGGTGGAGGTTGTAGTGAGCCGAGATCGCGCCACTGCACTCCAGCCTGGTGACAGAGCAAGACTCTGTCTCAAAAAAAAAAAATTAAAAAGTGGTCCAGATCAGTGGCTGTAGGAAAACAGCCTGTTGCACGACAAGAGTGATGCCATCTTGAAAGGAAACCACCATGATGTCTGATGTTTGACTCTTGCATACCAAGGGGTTCCCACAGTAGAGAGAACTCCTCATAAAGATGTTTAACTTTCTCAGTGGTCACGGGTTTTGCAAAAAGTCTGAGGCATGACCAACTGCATGTTTTACCAAAAAAAAGCTTACTATATAAAGGATATATTCTGGAGGGTGGATGGGAGGACCACCATCTCACAGCTGTCCAAGACATTGCTTTTGTCTGTAAGTCTTTAATAAATGCTGTAATAGTGACTTACGTAAAGTCCCTATGACTCCTTGAGGAACACAGAAAAAGCTGCCATGAACCTTTTCAAGGGGACTTCTGCCTTCTTTATGGAGTCCCAAGACTCATGGGAAGGTTTTTCTCTGGTCTCTTTTGCATTGAGCTTCATGATATCTCTGGCTTTGGGGAGCATCAGGGATTATTACATTGTCCTATGAGAGAATATGACCTTTGAGTGTGCAATGGCTGACAAGTGACTGATGGGGGCTACAGTTCTGAATGCGGCTGTCAGCATTTACCACGAGTGGTTAAGGGCTACTCCTTTTTTTTTTTTTTTTTTTTTTTTTTTTGCATGTTTAGGTATGAAAAGCGTCATTTGAATACCTAGAGTCTATGGAAACACTCAACACTAAGGGATACAACTCCCATGGGGGATAAACTGATCACAAATTGGGTTGCCCCCCAGCTTCAAAAGGAATGTCCCTGCAGTCAGGTACACTGTGGAAATGTTGCACTGTCTAGCCCTGTGGATTTTCCCTTTTAGGGGGGAGCCAGGGTTAAGTGTAAAAACGGGGCCGGGCATGGTGACTCATGCCTGTAATCCCAACACTTTGGGAGGCTGAGGCAGGCGGATCACCTGAGGTCGGGAGTTCAAGACCAGCCTGACCAACATGGAGAAACCCTGTCTCTACTGAAAATACAAAAATTAGCCTGGTGCGGTGGTGCATGCCTGTAATCCCAGCTACTCAAGAGGCTGAGGCAGGAGAATCACTTGAACCAGGGAGGTGGAGGTTGCAGTGAGCCAAGATCACACCACTGCACTTCAGCCTGGGCAACAAGAGCAAAACTCCATCTCAAAAAAAAAAAGGGGGATTCTTGATTTTGGGGGGATCTAAGTGTTCTACCTTTCAGCTGTACCTACTTTTTACATAAGATAAATATTAGGCCCCAGAAATGGCAAATGCTTTGTGAGCCCTATTTGTTAATGGGCACCACCTTAAGCTCAGTGGTCCAGTTGGAAAATGGAAATAAAATGAGAAGCTAACTACATAAATGAAATTGATCTCCTTATAAAATCCTGTGGTGAATTCCTATAATTTTGTGTTACCTTGGCATTCTTTTAAATTTTTCCTCCAACACACCAAAATCCCTTCTTAGAAAAGCTTAAATTCTCACACTGCACTTTAACATGGAAATCTGCTACCCTGTTTGCTCTAAAGCTCTGTAAGGGCTTTGGCCATGTGGGGCAGATAAACTTTAGCTTGTTCCACTTACAAAGTTTGAATCCAACTGTCCTTTTAAGCTAGTGAGTTTTACCCTTCTCATAGCTAAAATTTAAAAATCAAAGCTATAAAAATCCTTATTTGTCTGTATTTTATGTATACTTGTGTATGTGCCTGTTTGTATATTATCTACATAATGCCAAATTGACTTATACATAAATGAGTGCTCATAAGTTAATAATCCCAAATACTATTCAAGTTTATGACTTTGACTATTCCTTCTAGATTTTTTAAAGTCATAAAATGGTTGCTTCTCTGATGTGTTTGATACTTGCTTGACTTGTCTGTGAGCTTACGTCTTAAAGTCATTAGATTCTGTGCTTTAAATGGCCATCGTAAAGCCTAAGGCAGCTGAGCACTCCCTGGCCCAGTTGCTCTTCCTAGCTATGTCTGAAAAGATCAGAGATTATCTTCACAGCTCTCTCCTCTGTCCTGAGCTCTACTCTTAATGTGTAAGTTCAGGACTCAGATAGGTGCTAGCCTACATAGCCATCCTTGGGTACCAGATGAGTAGTTGGGGCCCAAGAAAAATGGAGAAGTTGGGCTGGGTGTGGTGGCTCACCCTTGTAATCCCAGCACTTTTGGAGGCCAAGGTCGGTGGATCACTTGAGCTCCAGAGTTAGAGACCAGCCTGGGAAACATGGTGAAATTCCATGTCTACCAAAAATACAAAAATTAGTGGGGTGTGGTCACACCTGTGGTCCCAGTGACTCAGAGGCTGAGGTGGGAGGATCGCTTGAGCCCAGGAGTCAGAAGTTGCACTAAGCCCAGATTGTGCCACTGCACTCCAGCCTGGGTGACAAAGCAAGACCTTGTCTCAAAAATTTAAAAAGTGAAAAAAAAAAAAAAAAGGAAACTGAAGAAGTCATTATGGAGGGTATCTGTGTCATAGTTTCAATGTTTTTCAGTAATTTAATATCTTAAACTCATGTTACATTAAATTAAGTCATGGCACCTAATTAATTAATTAAAAAAATAAAAAAAGTAAGTAATCATAAAATGCCAAAGTCATTTCTAGAAATGTTAAAATACTAAAACATTAATTATCAAATGTAAGTTTATATTCTTTGGCATCTTATTTTTTACTGTAGAAAAGCTAAACGTACTTAAATCTTATAAACAAAAATTAGGAAAACATCTTTTTAATAAATTCTGAAATTTATTTTCATCTACAAATACTGATATAAAACAGTTCAAGGCCAGGCGTGGTAGGTCACACCTGTAATGCCAGTATTTTGGAAGGCTGAGGCGGGCAGATCACCTGATGTCAGGAGTTCAAGACCAGGCTGACCAACATGGAGAAACCCTGTCTCTACTAAAAGTAGAAAATTAGCCAGTCGTGGTGGCATGTGCCTGTAATCCCAGCTACCTGGGAGGCTGAGGCAAGAGAATCTCTTGAACCTGGGAGGCAAAGGTTGCAGTGAGCAGAGATGGTGCCATTGCACTCCAGTGTGGGCAACAAGAGCAAAACTTCGTCTCAAAAACAAACAAACAAAAACAACAACAACAAAAAAAACAGTTTAAAATTAATTCCTAGGTTTTTCACTGGAAATTAGAGTTAATAAGAGTTAAAATTGTAATATTTTATATATATATATAATTAAAACTACTAGATATAAGAGAAACAATTCAATATACAAAATGTATTAAAAAAGTAAGGTGATTTTTGGAAAGGAGGGTTGTAAAAAAAGACATGAGTATGTGTATTCTGCTAAAGGGAAAGCGATTTTTTCTAGTTTAGAGATTTTTAAGGTTGTTTTAAATTGAATAAGTTAAAAGAATGATAGCTGAAACTGAATGAACATAGAAAGCTAGGGAAAGAAAAGATATAAAACAACTTGTAAGAAGTTATAAAACGTTTATGAAAATCTTGTCTTGTGTGGTCTAAAGCTAACTAAGAATGGATGAATTTGTTTATAAGGTTTTATTAAAATTAGGTTTAGTATTGATAATACACTAATATAAAATAAAATTTGATTTTCTTCTTTGAACAAGAACTTTAGGTAGTATTAATCAGCAGTAGCAAATGATTTTTGTTCACCTTTTGAATAAACTCGTAATTAAAAAAAAAGAAAAGGAAGAGGAAAGACCAATTCCATCTCATACTGTCTTTCTTAGTTCTGTCAGTTTGAAAAACTGAGTCTCTCTCAGAGTAAAGGATATTGCTTTTTGAAATCTTTGAATTATCACTCTGGCTAAATGAAAGACTATTATCTTACAGTGACCTGTGATTCTATTTCATTTTGATCAAGTGCCTTAAGCCCTTCTTATTGCGACAGTGTTTTAAACTTTTGATATTTGATATACTTTCCAAAATCAAATTCCAAATTCTAAAATCAAGGTTTTTGTGCCCCAAATAACTTTGAGATAACATATAGTTCCCCTGAAAGGCCAGAAAAGACATGTTAGGCTTATTTGGTATGTTAAAATCATATGGGAAACATTGTCAAATAAGAAATGATGTTTAACTTTCTTTGAGTTATATTTGTATTAATATGTGTTTCAAAATTGTATGAGATGCCTAAAAATCTATGTCTTGGTTTATTCAATAATTGCTTTATTCTGATGCTTTTTTCTAAAAACCTTTGGCAAATCCTAAAGTTTTGTGTCTTCTAGAAAATTCATGAAAAGGACTTCATCAAGTAATTTTGAATACAGGTTTCTGATAACTTTGGATAACACACCATTGGACTCGGTAAAAACTTTAAGAACTGTAATAAAAAACTGATATGCGGCCAGGGGCGGTGGCTCATGCCTGTAATCCCAGCACTTTGGGAGGCCAAGTTGGGTGGATCACCTGAGGTCAGGAGTTCAAGACCAGCCTGGCCAACACGGTGAAAACCTGTCTCTACTAAAAATATGAAAAAAAAAAAAAAAATAGCTGCGGGTGATGGCGGGCGCCTGTAATCCTAGCTACTTTGGAGGCTGGAAGAATCACTTGAACCCGGGAGGCGGAGGTTGCAGTGAGCCGAGATCGCTCCATTGCACTCCAGCCTGGGCAACAAGGGCAAAACTCCATCTCAAATAAATAAATAAATAAATAAATATGATATGCTCATGAAGATGGCTAACCCGGCAGAGCAAGAATTACATGGGACTAAACTGGTAAAGAACTGAAATGATGTTTATGACTTTTTGTTTGAAACATTGCTGATTCTTCTTAGGTTTTGTTTTCCAGAGTTAAGAAAACCTTTTTCCCCCTTTTTAGTGATTTATAGCTTATAGCAATTAGGTAAAGTATACTTTTGTGAGCAAAACTGAAACATTTACCTTTGTCTCTTCCTGATTTTCCACAATTTGGAAATTATTCATGGGTATTCTTATTTTATAGCAAAATAGATATTTGCATCAGTTCAATAAAAATGTTTTCTTTTGTAACATGACACTTTGGAGACACTCATTATTTTGCCAAGGTTTTGACTGGAATGGCATATTTTCAAATATAACCAGACTACTTTGAGGAATTAAAATTTATAGAGCCAATAAAAAACCCCTTGGAAAGACTGGCCTGAAACCTCGTCTGTACGATTCCCTTACAAAGTTCCTGACCTTGTAAAAGAAAATCACTTCCTGACAGATCCAGACACTTTGGGATGTTTTAGGACCTCCAAAAAATAAGAATTGACCTAATTTATATAAGGGTTACAGGCATAGACTTTCTGAGAAATCAGATTTGTCAGCCTGTTTTTTCAGCCTCTCAGCTCCCTAGGCCTTTGCAGGTAGGTTTGCAACGTACCTACTCACCACGGAACACAAGCTAAATGGAGGACATGCCAAAGTCATTGGAGGATGATGAAGCCACCAAAGGTAAGAGTCTAGATCTTGGATTCATTTTAAAAAGCACCACCCTGTTCTTCACAAACTCCCTTAGGCACTCCTTAGACTTTTTCTAAGAAAGAAAGCAACTTTTAAAATGTCCGTGGCTTAACACAATACGATGTAATTGTTACTAGCTATAACACGTATGTAAATGCTAGCTCCTGTCAGGGTCATTACTGACTGTGGAACTCAGATTGTGTCATTCAGGAGACCAAGATATCAATGGCTATGCTATATGTGCGCCTACATTTGATGAACAAATTTTCCTCAGTATAATTCTGAATACTTGCCTCTATTCCATTCTATTAGCAACTGCCTTGCTATTGTGTTGATTGGGGGGCTTAATTAGTAAATTACTCTGACAGTATTTCCAATAAAAATAAAGAGATACATATATATATCTCTTGTATTTATTTTTTTTTGTATTTATTAATATGAAAGTCCCCTTTTGGAGGGCTTTGTTTTGAGCCTTGAGTATTTTAAGACTAATAACTTAAGAAATCTGACAAATCTGATAAAGATTATACACACTCTTGCCTCCAGAATGCATATAAATATATTTTGCATAGAATCCCAGGGTCCATAGAAATGGATTATTTAGGACTCCTGACATATGCAATTACATATAATTTACACAAAATATTTGGTAGTTGTTTTATTATTATAATAAATATTATCTATGTATTAATAAAGTAGTTATTAATAAATTATTCTTTGTTATTAATAAATTATTAATTGCTAAATTAATAATTATTAACAAATAATAGATATTACTAAAATTATTTGGTTTTTAAAATAATAAATATGAAATGATATTATTTCATTTCACTTTACAGATGAAGAGCTTACAACATACATGATAAGTGACTTACCCAAGCTCAGACATTTGGTGCTTACCAGAATTGGGAATTAAATTCACAACAACTCCATTCCACAATCCATTCCCTTTCTACCACTTCATGGTTCTTCAGCCCCTGTAGTATACTAAAACATTGCCCAGTTTCTCATAAATAACTAAACATCTTTTTTTTTAAAGAGAGGTTTATTTGATCAATATGTCAGCCCTTTTCCATTCAAAATATATATTATTTGTGAAATGGTACAAATCAGTGTGTGTATGTGAAAGAGAAAGGAAGATTAATAGATATTTTGAGACTAAGAGATTAAGAGAGAGATTGAAAAAGACCGAGAAAGATACTATCTTTATAAATTATTACATAAGGCATTATCTTTGATGTTTGTTTTTTAATCCAAACATCTTACAGAAACTCATGGTAAAGCTAACATAGTGTAGCTTAATGTTCTTATTTCCAAAATTCACCATCCTCCATCCATAAAGGTCAATTTGGAGTTGCCAAAAAAAAAGGGCCTCTTTCTTTGGTGCCCTCTTGCTTTTACCTAGATGTTTCTCCAGCTGGGAATTATTTGCCCAATTTGCCTTGCTTTATTCCACTCATCTTACTTAACACTTTCTCTAAATGACCAAGCTTTTCTCCAAAAGACAAAACAAAATGAGTAAAGAAACCAAAATAACCCACCATTCCCTTACTTGTGTAGGAATAAGAATGAGGAGGTCAAAGTACAGTGGTGATGTATGCACAACCTTGAGAATTTTTTTAAAAAAAATATTGAATTGTATACTTTAAAAGGTTAATGTTATAGTACAGGAATCATATCTCAGTAAACAAATGAAAGAGTACAAATTCAAAATCAACCTGCATTTGAGTTTTCATTCTATTGCATATGGTCTGGTCTGCATGAGCTTCAAGGAGTTATTAAACTTTGTAAATTCCAATTATTTAATCCATAGAATGAGGATAATTATACCTGCTCATTAATGTTTTCTAAAGATTAAATGAGTTTATCTGGGTGAAGTTAAGACAGTCTGAACAGTCTGTGACTAGAAATGAGAGAAATAAATATAACCACATGAAATGAATATGGCCCCATATGTGCAAAAGTTATGCACATACCCTAAAAATCAAAATCTTAACAAAAATATTCTTAATCCTTCTTCTATCTTCAATGTTACATTCCTTTCTTCTGAAAGAATATCATGTCTTGCTTTCTTTTCTAAAGTGTATCATATTCTCTTTTCTAGATGTATATTCTACTTCTGCTTATTGTTAAACCTCTTCTCAAAATGTTGACTAGGATGGTTTTTTTCAAATAGATAGGGTAAGTTGTTCATTTAAGAGTACAAAGACTTTCCTCCCCTTTAAATTCCAAAGTAATTCTAAAGAATTAGATGGGAGAGATTTGGGGTTGCACATATGTGTAAAAGAGAAGTTATAAAACTATTGTGTTAGGAAATGAGATTGGTGGCCCTGGTCATTGGTAAATCACTCTCATTTCTTCTTGTTTGCCATATTTATAGTAAATAGTACAAATCATATTAAAAATATATGTCTTATTTCCACAGCACTATCCTGCATTAAGGATTCACACAATTGGCATTCTAACCAAGATCTACAAATCGGCAAATCTCTCGCTTCCCAACCTGATCATAGGCTTCTCTTCATCATGCCCTGAGCCTCACAAACAGAGGCATTTCCTCAGTTCCTAGAGTTGCCACCCTCATCTCTACCTTGGCACCTTTGCCAGTGCTTTCTGTTCTTTTGCCTGGAATGTGCTTTTCTCATTTATTCACACCAATGGATTTTCTCATCCTTGTGATCTCAATTAAAATGTTTGCTTTCCCCGAAATTGCTTGTCCACCCTATCAAAGGCACATTCCATATTCTACCATCTTCTTTCCCTTCAGAATATCCAGGATGTGATAAACAATTTTACATCATCCTTTCAGAACAATTATTTATTTCTGAATTGTTTGATTTATTATTCCCTCTTTTCATGGACAATTCTCCAAGAAGACAATGACTATCATCTCCTTTATTCTCTATTGTATTCCCCACACCAGCACAACTCTTAACTCAGAGTAGATACATAATATTAGTTTAACTACTGGAAAATAGTAGCCTTTCCCCAATCCAGTGATTTGGGGAAATCTCTAAGGATGATAGAGAGAGTCAGTGCTCACTTCCTTAATGGCTTCAGTGGACCTCTCGCAGTTGTATTTTTTAAAATCTGACTAATGAGTCAAGCCTGATGGGTCTCATGCTCGGAAGAATCATTGCCTCTTCCTAAGAGGAGTAGACCACGGATTCTAAATTGCTTTTCCATTCTCCACTGAAGCAGCTGAACTGGTACTTGCAAAAGGGCAGATGATGTCACTCTGCCACACTCTGGAGATGTCTATCTTAGTTCTGCATTGAGAACATCTGCTTATTTCCACTCTTTACAACAGCAATTCCTCCCCAGTTGGGGGACATACACCAAGGGCTCTGGCCTCCACTGGGGCAGGGAGCCACTTTGTGCTAATTCAGAGAGATGTCCAGAGGTGCAGGCAGGCAGTGGATTACTAGGCACCCAGTGGTACACATATCCTGTAGCAAAGTACCAATAGCAAGTTGTTGTTGGAACAGCAATATACCTTAATTTCTACATCTGAAATTTGGGAAAAAAAAAAAAAAAAGGACAACCTGGATCTTTTCCTTACTGACTTAATTAAATTATATGTCAATGGCTAGATACAGTGGCTCACGCCTGTAATCCCAGTACTTGGGAGTCTGAGGCAGGCAGATAGCTTAAGCTCAGGAGTTCAAGACGAGCCTAGGCAACATGGGGAGACCCTGTCTCTACAAAAAATACAAAGATGAGCCAGGCATGGTGGCACGCACCTGTAATCCCAGCTACTCGGGAGACTGAGGTGGGAGAATCACTTGAGCCTGGGAGGTTGAGGCTGCAGTGAGCTGAGATCATACCACTGCACTCCAGTCTGGGAGACAGAGCCAGACCTTGTTTCAAAAAAAAAAAAATTTATACCAGAAAAACCAAAAAGGAAGAGCAAAATCATTGAGTTGGGAAGACCAGGCTTTGCATTGGCACTTCTTCATTTATTGACAATGTCACCTAAGATTCTCTAATGTCTTGCGTCTCAGAGAAAGTTTCCTTGCTTATGAAATGGATATAAGTAGGTTTGCTTCATGGACAGCTATGAAAAGTCATGTTTCTTTTTTGACTTACTTCATTATTTCTATATGATCATGCTTATTCTTTTAGTATGCCACTTATCTCAAAATGTCCTTAGACAATGTGCATCAGAGTCACTCACTTCCCAGGTAATTGGAAGACATACTAACGATTTTTCTAAGTCATTTGATTATATCAAAATCCCAATTGTACAGGCTTGGCCACAGGCAAAACGTATATTTTTCCTAATCTGAGAATTATGTTCCTTAAAAACTCATGTAGAACAATTTATAATCGAGAAATCTGAGACTTCATATATTTAAAAATTAGTTTGGCAAAATGTATGCTGTGAGTAAACTCCTCCCCTCCACACACAAAGACTTTCCAGAATTTTGAGCCTAAATTTTTTTTATATAGACAGAACACATTAATATAAAATTAGTGACATAATTGTATATATCTTGAGGCATCAAGATGTTGGGGTTTTTTTGTTTTTTTGTTTTTTTTGAAATGGAGTCTCACTCACTCTGTTGCCCAGGCTGGAGTGCAGTAGCACGGTCTCTGCTCACTGCAAACTCTGCCTCCCAGGTTCAAGTGATTCTCTGGCCTCAGCCACCCAAGTAGCTGGGATTATAGGCACCTACCACCCCCAGCTAATTTTTGTATTTTCAGTAGAGACGGGGTTTCACCATGTTGGACAGGCTGTTCTCGAGCTCCTGACCTCAAGTGATCTGCCCACCTCAGCCTGGCAAAGTGCTGGGATTACAGGCATGAGCCATTGCGTCTGGCCTAAGACAGTGTATTCTTGATGGTGGTATTATTAATATCTGTTAATCATATACTTAGAGATATATATTTTTCTAAGAAACATGGGTAATTCTATCTGGCTTTGTAGAAAATCATCAGGGAATGATGTCATGCCTCTGCAATGTTTAATATGATTGTTATTTTAAAACAAGATTAGAGAATGGAGAATTTAATCTTTTAACTAACAATTACATGCATTCACTATAACATTTGCTTAGTTTCCAAAAGGATAACATATAGAATTTATAGTTTCATTCTCATGAATGCCCAGGATACTGGCACCTGGGGAAAATCACCAACCCAGCAGCAAGCCAAATCCAGGATCTGTATGTACAAGATTAGCTGACAAGCAGTATGCCCATACGCAATAGATTTATAGCAGGTCAGCAGGATTGGAAAACTGCAGTCTGGGGATTGAAGCTAGGTTTAGAACAGGGTACAATGCTGGTGGAGGAGGAGAAAAGGGTCAGAGAAAAAACAGCAATAATTATCACTTACTGATTTCTTAGTACCTTAACTACACCATCTCCAGCCTATGGAAGAGGTTTTATCAGCAATAATGGTGTAACTGGATAATAGCAACTGTTACATTTTTCAGTCAACAAACCAAAAATAACAAACCATTTGAGAAAAGAATATGAATCTAAGTCATCTGACAACTTTCCACTGGCACTTTCTGATAAAATTAAGTACCAGCAATTTTTTTAAAAAGTGATATTGACATCACAGAAAATGGAGTAGGAAGCATCAGGTCACTCCAATGAAGCAGTTATAAAGCTGGAAAACACTGATGGAATTAACTTTTGTGGAACTCTAAAATATAAACAGAACACTTACAACAACCAAGAAAGTACTTAATGAAAAAAAGAGGCTGCTAAATTTTGGTAAGAAAGTGGTACAATGATTTTGCTCACTTGCCTATCACCAATATTCTCCAATTTGACAGTAGCCAAGGTGGCTTTTGAAGTTACCAGAAGGTGCAATATGAATCCCATTAATATTGTGACTATGCTTTTTGGCCTGTCTGATAATTGTCCAAGCGACCAGCACAGAAGCTTGTTTTCATTTTGCCCTCATCTGGCTGGAGCAGCTTCCTGGGCTGGTGTCTATCAAAGCATTTAAAGACCTGTACTACTTATAGCTTCCTAGGGCAAGGGGGACCAGATAGGGATTGGATGTGGGCAAGAAGCAGACAGATTATAAAACCTGAGAAAGAGAAGGCTGAGGAGGATAACACTTGGGAAATAAGGGCTTTAAAGGGTTACTATGTATATTAGGGACTCCAGAGTGCAAGATCATCACTGGATACGATCTCAGAAAAGACCTGAGAGGACCCTAAGCTTGACCCCTGGCCAATCTCTGAGCTCTGTGCAATCAAAAGGTGAATGTTAAGTCATTGCCAAGGTGGACTGGCTAAGCATTTCACAAGTGTCTCAGCTCAGAGATAATCTGCAAAGATAGGGATAGTATTTTCATTTTCTTTTTGGTTCTAGGTGTTCAAAGAAATTTCTATCTGTCACTAACTTACTGCTGCGATACCAGAACAGAGATTCTGGTGACTACACATGACAAGAAAGACAGCCTTTGAAAAAATAGTTTGGAAAAGTCTCTAAACAAATGACTACAAACCTCAATAAGCAACAACAGAAAAATTTAGGGAGGGTAGAGAGATAATCCAATCTCCAGATGTACCACATAATGATATTCAAAATGTTTACTTTTCAACACTAAATTGTAGAGGATACAAACATAGGAAAGTATGACCAATTCACAGGAAAAAAAAATAATAGAAACTGTCTCTGAGAAAGCTCAGACATTGGACTTACCAGACAAAGACTAAATCAAATGCCTTATATATGCTTAAAGAGCTAGTGGAGGCAAGGCCTGCTGGCTCATGCCTGTAATCCCAGCACTTTGGGAGGGAGAGGCAGGTGAATTACTTGAGGTCAGGAGTTCGAGACCAGTCTGGCCAACATGGTAAAACCCTGTCTGGGGTTTTACCCTGGTGGGGTGGTGGGCATCTGTAATCCCAGCTACTCAGGAGACTGAGGCAGGAGAATCACTTGAACCTGGGAGGTGGAGGTGGCAGTGAGCCGAGACTGTGCCATTGCACACTCCAGCCTGGGCAACAAGAGTGAAACTCTGTCTCAAAAAAAAAAAGGAGATAATGGAAACCTAAGAGAATAACTAAAGGAAACCGGAAGAATAATAAATGAAGTGGAGAATATCAATAAAGAGACAAAAATTACAAAAAGAACAAAATAAAAATTCTAGAAACAAGTCAATAGCCTAAATGAAAAATTTACTAAAGCATTTCAACAGCAGACTTGAGCAAGCAGAAAAAATAATCCGCAAACTTGAAGACAGAACAATTACAATTATCCAGTATGAAGAGTAGGAATAAGAAAATGAAGAAGAGTGAATAGAAGCTAAGAGATCTGTGGGACACTATCAAGTTTATCAGTATACGCACTGGGGGAATCTCAAAAGTAGAAAAAAGAGAGAAGCAGGTAGAAAGAATATTTGAAGATGTAATGGCTGAAAACTTCCCATATTCCTACACATCTGAGAAGCTTAGCAAACTCCAAGTGGGATAAACTCAGAGATGCACACAGAGAAACATTATAATCAAACTTTTCAGAACCAAGGACAAAGAGAAATAACTTGAAAACAATAAAAGAGAACATTCCTCACATAAACAGCATCCTCAATAAAATTAACAGCCAATTTCTCATCAGAAACCTTGGAAGCCAGAAGGCAGTGGGAAGACTATTTATTTATTTATTTATTTATTTACTTATGTATTTATTTATTTATTTATTTATTTATTTGAGACAGGGTCTCACTCTGTTGCCCAGGCTGGAGTGCAGTGACATGATCATAGCTCACTGCAGCTTTGAACTCCTGGGCTCAGGCGATCCTCCCACCTCAGCTCCCCAAAGTGTTGGGATTACAGGCATAAATCACTGTGCCCAACTGGAAGACATAAAGAGCTGAAACTAAAAAAAACACAAACGGTCAATCAAGAATTCTCTAACTGGCAAAATTAATCTTCAAAACTGAAGTCAAAATAAAGACACTCCCAGAAAAAGAAAATTGGGAGCATTCGTTTGCTAGTATGTCTATCCTATAAGAAAGGCTAAAGGGAGTCAGGCTAAAATGAAAGAGCACTGTATTTAACTTGAAGCCATAGGAAGAAATAAACAATGCTAGTTACATAGCAAAATATAAAAGCTATTGTTATTGGGTTGTTTGCTTTGTAACTCCTCTTTTTCTTTCACATGTGATTTTTTTAAATGCATTAAACAATAATTATGAATCTATGTCAATGAACACACAGTATCTACAAATGGAAACTGTAGCAATAACAATATAAAGAGGGAGCACAGCTGTATAGGAGCAGAGAATTTGCATGTTGTTGAAGCTAAGTTGTTATCAATTCAAACTACATTGTCAAAAATACAGGATGCTGGGCAGGCACAGTGGTTCACACCTGTAATCCCAGAATTTTGTGAGGCTGAGGTGAGCAGATCACTTGAGGCCAGGAGTTCGAAAACAGCCTGGCCAACATCTCTACTAAAAATACAAAAATCATCTGGGCATGGTTGTGCATGCCTGTAATTCCAGCTACAGGGAAGCTGAGGAAGGAGAATCGCTTAAGCCTGGGAGGCGGAGGTTGCAGTGAGCTGAGATCATGCCACTGCACTCCAGCCTGGGCGACAGAGCAAGACTGTGTCTCAAAAAAAAAAAAAAAAAAAATAGGATACTAATGACAAATGTTAGCAAAGATGTGAAGAAATTTGAAGACTTGTATGCTGCTGGAGATATCTAAAATGCTATAACCACTGTTGAAAACAGTTCCACAGTTCCTCAAAAAGTTAAATATAGAATTGCCGTGTAACCCAGCAGTTTCATTCCTAGCTACATACTCAAGACAATTGCAAACAAGTACTCAAATACTTATACACATGCATTTATAGCAGCAATATTTACAATAGCTGAAAGATAAAAACAACCCAATGTTCATTAACTAATGAATAGATAAATTGTGGTATGTACACATAATGGAATATTATTCAGTCATAAAAATAAATGAAGTACTGGCCAGGTACAGTGTTTCACGTCTATAATCCCAGCACTTTGGGAGGCCAAGGCAGGTAGATCACTTGAGGCCAGGAGTTCGAGACCAGCTTAGCCAACATGACAAAACCCCAGCTGTACAAAAAAAAAAAAAAAAAATACAAAAATTAGCCAGGCATGATGGTGCACACCTGTGATCCCAGCTCCTTGGGTGGCTGAGGCATAAGAATCACTTGAACACAGGAGGCGAAGGTTGCAGTGAGCTGATATTCCACTGCTGCACTTTAGCCTGGGCAACAGAGTGAGACTCTGTAAGAAAAAAAGATAATTGGAAGGAAGGAAGGGAGGGAGGGTGGGAGGGAGGGAAAGGGAGGAATTGATACATGCCATGGTGTAGATGGACCTTGAAAACATTTTGCTCAGTGAAAAAACGCAGACACCAAAAGTTATATATCATACAACTCTTTATGTGAAATATCTAGAATAGGTAAATCCATAGGGACAGAAAGAAGATTGTGTTTGCCAGGGGATAGAGGAAAGGAGCAATGGAGAGAGACTGCTTAATGAGTACGGTTTTCTTTTGGATGATGAAAATGTTTCAGAAGTAGACAGAGGTGGTGGTGGCACAGCATTATAAATATACTAAGTGCCACTGATGGTACACTTTAAAATGGTTAATTTGATGTTATGTGAACTTCAACTCATTAAACACACACACACACACACACACACACAAATTGGATTCAGCAGCTTGTAAGCAAATCCCAGAGTTACTAGTGAAGCCCCTCTTTTAGAAAATGTAACATTTGTGTTGTATTAAAGGAGAGAATGTTAGAAAACACATGACCAGCACTTTTGATGACATAAAGGATGATACTGACTAATAATAAATAAGCACCAACAGTTCTAAATAAATTTTCAAAGAGCTTCGAAGGGTCTGCCTCTGAATCTGAAGATGATGTATAAATGCCTAAATTCTAATACATTTCATACTAGAGAGAGAGAGAGAGAAACAGAGATGATGAAAGTGAATTTGTCTACGAAATTCTACAAATGTCTATAAGAACTTATTAAAATTATTCCAAGTGTTGAAAAAGCATGGTATTAGAGTACACTTGGCAAATATTTATTTATTTTGTACATAATGTCATGGTGTTGTATTTTACAACTAACGGCATCTTGAGTTTTGTGAAAATTAGCAGATAAAATGAAAATATTACTACACTTTCAACAGATGCTTTATATTACAATGGTGACCCATTCATTCACGTACTCACCTTCACTAATCAAGGCTCTTGAATGTGCTGTGCTGAATTCAGAATATAAATGATTAAAAATTTCACTATGGCAAATCTGAAGAACATTTGATTAAAAAAGGATTTAGCATCCATTTCAAGAAGCATTCACCACCTTTCAAAAGTTCATTATTAAGTAGTAGACAGAGAAACCTAGGAAGGTTATTGTAAACTGAGTGCTACTGCAGAGGTAGTTAAAAGATACAGTTTGGTTTCAAAGCAGTGACTATGGCTTCCTAGAAGTTTATAGGAGGCTTTGTAGAAGCAGTAGTGTTTTAGCAGCTTCTTTTTTTTTTTTTTAGACAGTCTCGCACTGTCGCCCAGGCTGGAGTGCCGTGGTGCGATCTTGGCTCACTTTAGCAGCTTCTTACAGGACAGATAGGAATTTTGAGTTTATCTCATTAAAATAAAGCAAGAAGGCCATTTCAGGCAGAGGTAATTAGCGAGAGGAAAGGGTATAAAGTAGTTTGTAAAGAGAATGCAAGAGGAAATGGGACAGGTAAAGGGGACAGGTAAAGGGTAGGAAAACAGGAGACAAGGCCAGAAACCAAATGAAGAACCTGTTAAAACACTGGATTTCTAAGTATCACATCTATAATGTTTTCTTACCTAGCCCTCTTAACAGAAAGTTGAAGGCATTAGGCCATGCCATTAATCTTTACTGGTCTTTTTGGTAAAACAAATTTGATATTGATAGTGATAGGGGGCAGCCAAATGCCTAGACAGATAGGGATGGGTGCCCAGTGAATCTCCACCTCCAAGCCAAAGACAGTTTAAAGTCTGAAAGCCAAGCTACAGGTTAAATCCTCAGACCAGATTGAGAACTTGTCTTCCTGTTTGATGCACTTTCCCTTGATTGATCCCCACCCTTCTTATTTTACATATACCTACCCTTTCCTAATTGCTTTTTTGCAGTATCATGCTCACCTTTGGGTGATGGCTTCGTTTTAACCTTTTTTGCACACTCACAAACCAATCAGCATGCACTCCCCATCCTATGCTTATAAAGACCCCAGACTCAGTTGATGAGACAGAGAGAACTGCCCAACTGCAGGGGCTGGGGACCAGACCACTCCCTGTGTCTCCTCTCTGCTGAGAGCTGTTCAGTCACTCAATAAAATTCTTCTTTGCCCTAATCACCCTTCAATGTCTAGCATATCCTTATTCTTCTTGGGCATGATATAAGAGATTGGGCACCACTGAACACAGGTACAAGCTATGACACAGGCAAGCTGGGGCATGCCAGCAAGGCCAAGTGATATCCAGGTGGGGCATTGCTGGCCAGGGTTCCCTGGCTTGCAAAGTGACCAAGAAGAAAAATCCTACATCAATATAGTACCAGGACCAAAAAAAGGTTTAGACTTTGACCTGTATCCATGGCATATTATCTTACAATCTCTACTCAATTAAAAAAAAAAATCAAAATGCTAACCCTATACAATAGCTCCCAATTATTGAGGATCTTCTTTTATCCCAGGAATCAAGTTCAGTATACACACACACACACACACACACACACACACACACACACACACACAGATCTTTCAGGCAATATAATCATAGGGCTGCTTAAAAGATTAAGAAATGTAACCTCATAGAGGTTTGACAAAATTTGCATTATCACAAAGCTGTAAAGCTACTTAAGTCAACATTTAAGATTTCATCCTTCATTTATTCATGTAAGTGTGTATTGAGTAAAGTTCTGCATTATCCATTTTATAAATTATTTAAAGAATTTTTTATGTATAAGAAATGTGTATATAAATGTGTTTTTTCTAATTTCTCTGGGCCAAGGACTGATTAAAGCAGATGTGCTATGACCCCATGATCTCAATCCTGAATTCCCTTGGTTAATTTTGCAAATGGTGTGTGTGTGTGTGTGTGTGTGTGTATGCTCTGTATAAATGATTAATCTAAAGAAATCAGAGGTGAAACATCTATTATTTTTGTTACAAACTGTCTTTAGTAGTGGCATAAAATATACTTCTGGGAGCGTTGATGCATATGAGAATCACAAACAATGCCATATTTGACATAATCCTGTGATATTCCTTTTTGAGAATTCAGAAATCAATAGACAATTACACCTATAATTTCTCTGAAATAAATTTTTGAGCCCTGCAAGTATGTCCCTTTACTAGAAAGAAGAGACTCACTGAGAACTGTGGTTAAATTATTTTTTAAAAAAGAAAGAAATTATACATGACATACATGTTCATGTTCATGATCCTGAAATTGACTTTTGTCAAAACATATTTAATTTATCTTGGAATCAATGCTGTTATTTATATTATCGTCTGTTCTGCAAATTTGGTATACTGCACATTTCAATTTATTTCTCCACTCATGTCCCTTCCCCTTACACCATGAGTCGCTTGAAGGCAAGAATGATTTCTGATTAACCTTTTCATCCTCAGATTCTAGCATTACTCCAAGTATGGAGCATCCTTTTGATAATTGTATGAACTGGTAAAAAGAGAATGAGAGTGTGTTTAAGTAAGTGACTGAGTGAACACATCAGTAAATAATTGAGTAGGTAGCTCAATTATTATAGGTTTCCCATTCTATAAATGAAGAGTTTGAACATTAGAGAATGTGAGTGATAAAATATTACATGACATTATTATTATCAAGAAATGATTATGGAACAAGCATTCTAGCATTCTAAGTTATTTGTATGTGAAATTTTCAAGAGATCTTTCCTCAGACTTTTGAAATCTACATAAGATGGGCGTGAATTTGGATGTCCATATACTTTATTTTACAAATTGCAACAAATATGAAAGTGAAAAGTATTAAAAGAAAAACCTTAGGCAAATTAAATTTACCAGTTTATTTGAGGAAAGAATGATTCATGAATTAGGCAGTATTCAGAACCAGAAGAGGTTCAAAGATCCCAGCCCAGCAGTGTGAGCAGTAAGCTTTTATAGGTTGAATAAAAGCAAAGTAGATGATTGGCCACAACTAGGTGTCTGCCTTGTTTGGGCATGGTGTGAGCAGTTGGTTACCTGTGACTGGCTGAAGCTCAGCTATTTGTGATTGGCTGAAACTTGGAGTTTCATTAAAAATAATACTCCTGAGTTTGGTTTTAGTTTGTTGACATCCGAAGTTAGGTTGTAGTTTGTTATATAGGAACTCAAAGTACAGAATAAGCCTCAGACTAGTGACCTCCTGCTTATATTTAATTTAACAAAAAAGGAATTGTTAATAATTTTCTAGGACAAAATAGGCAAACTAGAATTGTTCCAGGGGAACTGAGATGAATTATCACCCTACCTTAAACTTTAATTTCATACAATTTTTTTTATTTTTTTGAGACAGAGTCTCGCTCTGTCACCCAGGTTGGAATGCAGTGGCGCTATCTCAGCTCACTGCAACCTCTGCCTCCTAGGTTCAAGCAATTCTCATTCCTCAGCCTCCCGAGTAGCTGGGACTATAGGTGTTTGCCACCACACCCAGCTGACTTTTTTGTATTTTTAGTAGAGACGGGGTTTCACTATGTTGGCCAGGCTGGTCTCAAACTCCTGACCTCAGGTCATCTGCCCACCTCGGCCTCTCAATGTGCTGGAATTACAGGTGTGAGCCACCGTGCCTGGCCAGAAATTTCTAAAAAATTAGTTTTAGACTATCTCTGTTCATGTCTGACTCTGTGGTCCACACTCATGAGAGGTAGAACATAACTACAATTTTGGAGCAAATATAACAAAGAATAGCATCTTCATAAAGCATTTATTAACATAGCAGACTGAATTAGTGATGATTTGGGGGTAAAAGTGAAAGAGAAATTTAAGCAAAACACAACCAAGAAGTTTGAGTTGAACATGAAGCATTGAGAATTTAAGTTACCCCATAAGCAAATTTCTACTGTCCAATTTCACATATAGAAATAACCTCAAAGAACCTGTCTTACTCCTCATTCTTCTCACTTCCACTTTCCTCACTTTCAGCTGTATAGGCATAAAAGCACACATACCCTTTTTTTTTTTTTTTTAAATGCATGGAGTTTCATCATCCCTTCATTACCTGTGGTGTTTTGTTTTGTTTTCTTTCTTTCTTTCTTTCTCTCTCTCTCTCTCTCTCTCTCTCTCTCTCTCTCTCTCTCTCTCTCTTTCTTTCTTTCTTTCTTTCTTAGACAGGGTCTCCTGCTCTGTCACCTGGGCTGGAGTGCAGCAGCACGACTTTGGCTCACTGCAACTTCCACCTCCCAGGTTCAAGCAATTCTCATGCCTCAACCACCCAAGTAGCTGGGATCACAGGTTCACCACCATGCCTGGCAAATTTTTGTGGGTTTTGCATAGACGGAGTTTCACCATATTGGCCAGGCTGGTCTCGAGCTCCTGACCTCAAGTGATCTGCCTGCCTCAGCCTCCCAAAGTGCTGACATTACAAGTGTGAGCCATTGTGCCTGGCCCCGTTACCTGTGTTTTTGAAAATCCTTCTTGGACTTACCTTCTATTCCAAAGGGAGTATCAAAGTATTTCTTATTTCTGAGGCTGGGGGTGGTGGCTCACACCTGTAATCCCAGCACTTCTGGAGGTTGAGGCAGGCCGATCACTTGAGGTCAGGAGTTTGAGGCCAACCTGGCCTACATAGTAAGACCCTGTCTCTACTAAAATTACAAAAATTAGACAGGTATGGTCGCGTGTGCCTGTAGTCTCAGCTAGTCGGGAGGCCGAGGCAGGAGGATCACCTGAGCCTGGGAAATGCAGGTTGCAGTGAGCCAAAATTGTGCCACTGTATTCCAGCCTGGGTGACAGAGCAAGACCCTTTCTCAAAAAAATAAAATAAAAAAGCTCTTCTTATCTCTGAAATCAGCAACTCCTCTCTTCTGGAAATAATTCAGAGACAATTTTACATTACATTTTACAGTGTCAACAGAATTAAAAATATTTGTGACAATAATTTGTGAATACTTAAAACCGCTTTTGCAAAATTATGACTAAGACACTGAAATAGAACTAACAACCAACTCCATCTTGCTTCTAACCTCCAAGCTGTCCTCGCTCATTCCTGGGCATAGACTGAACTAACTTTGGGAGGAACTTAGTTTGTAAGTTATAGTTTAAAACAAAGACAATAACAGCCCTTTCCCACAAACAAACCTCCTTCTTGCCTGGGGACTAGACTACTACCATCGGCCAACAAGTAGAAATTATGGTTTAGGAGTCAGGCAGCTGGAGGCTAAAAGATTCTGACCCTCTCTAAACTGCTCCTAAGATCAGTGCTTGAGATGTTTGGCAGACCCTATACTTGATGGATCAACTGGCACCACCCAGATCCATCAGCTGGCTCATCTGTTCTTGTGACACTTACCCCACTCCCAGAAACTGACTCAGCACAAGACAGTGACACCCTGTGATTTCATCTCTGACCCAACCAGTTAGCACTCCTTGACTCACTGCCCCTCCCCACTCACCAAATTGTCTTTAAAAACTCTGATCCCCGAATGCTCTGGGAGACTGATCTAAGTAATAATAAAATTCCAGTCTCCCGCACAGCCAGCTCTGCATGAATAGCTCTTTCTCTATTGCAATTCCTCTGTCTTGATAAATTGGCTCTGTCTGGGCAGCGGGCAAGGTGAACCCATTGGGTGGTTACATACCTACTGCTTCTAACTTCCTACACAGGAGTCAGGTTACTTGCATGTCCCACCTAAGCTTTTGCCTAAGATCCTAGTAGAGTACCTGAGGGTCTATTTCTTTCCTGTTCCTTACAATTTCATATCTTAGGACTGGGATTTTTATCCCTGGATATTTTCTGGAGGAACCTCCCTTCTCTGACCTCCACCTGCACTCGACTTCTACAATGCAACTCTGAAACTGTGCTTCAGATCATTGCCTGGGACTGATCTGGGTTCTAACTTCTTATTGTGTTTGCACTCTAATTATTGTTCTTCCTCTCTGAATTATTAATCTCTTAGTTATAAGTGACAGAAAATCAATTAAACTACATTAATCAAAAAACAAAACAAAAAATATACTGGCCAATGGCCACTGGGCCCAGGGGTTAAAAAGTTCAGGGTAAGTGCTGGATTCAGTGCCTTGGTTGATGGCATTAGGAACTAATCTATTGGTATTGGATATACTGTCCTCTTTACCTTGTATTAATTTTATTCTCAGGCTGAAAATGATGGCAAGATGACTAAAGTAGCATTATCTTTAAATCCTCGTAGATAGAAGTACCTTTGAGAAAGGAGCTCCTCTTTCTATTAGTCCTTCCAAAACCAATGAGTTTCACTCTGATTTAATTGCTTACATTACATGTATACTGATCACTGAACGAATTTCCATTGCCAGCAGCATTTGGGTCTCTGATATACTTGGCTTGGGGTAATATGCTACAGGCCTGTAACTTAACTCCAACTAACATGAGATGAGCATAGTAAAATGTAGTAAATGAGATCTACATAGTAAAATGTAGGTCTCAATAGGAAGGGAAGGGAAACAGCAAATGTCTTCTACACCTTCATTTTCAGATTACTTTTTTCTCCCTCAGTTTTCTATGTTCCTGCTCATGTCCCTTCCCTGTAAATTAATTACTTCTCTTTTTTCCTTCCACCAAGCTGTAGGGCCATAGTTCTGAAGTTATTAATACTGACACAGTGGGAAAGATTGTGAACAGACCACAAAAAGTGAATTTCTCAGTTTAAACTCCTCTTACCATCTTTTTCTGTAACATACAAACAATGTAGCAGTACAGCAAGAATTTTGCAAAATGTTCACAAGGCAATACTTTACAAAGTAGGCACTTCATAAATATTTGTTGATAGATGTTTAGTCCCACTAAACCACTTCCTGAAAGCCCCTTTGGCCCAATTAATATCTTTGCAAGAAAAGACAGATCCACAGAGTCATGCAGAAAAAAAATAGATTGATTTTGTATATAGCTTAGTCTATAGTCTTCAAGATATGTATTGCTTGGAGAGTTACTCAAGGTGTTTTGTCATTCCTATCTTGTCTCGTTAGCATCAGTAAAGAATATGATGGGGAAAAGAACACAATTTCCCACTAAATATTGTAGCAGCAAACACTAAGATTTACTAGAAAAACGAAGAATATCAATTTGTTTTCTATTTTTAAAACCGTTACTCAAAGCAAGTTGGCTTTATAAAGAATGAGGTGTCTGTATTATTTTATTTTCTGATGAAGGCAAACATAAAGAAAACACATTTTTGGCAATCTGGAGGGGTAGACTTCACAATGCAGTTGCATTTGAGTTTGCAAAGAAATTCTTTTATATTCACTGGGTGAAGTGGCTCACTCTTGTAATCCCAGCACTTTGGGAGGCTGAGGCTGTCAGATCACTTGAGGTCAGGAGTTCAAGACCAACCTGGCCAACATGGTAAAACCCTGTCTCTACTAAAAATACAAAAATTAGCCAGGCATGGTGGCACAGGTCTGTAGTCTCAGCTATTTGAGAGGCTGAGGCAAGAGAATCACTTGAGCATGGTAGGCAGATGTGGCAGTGAGTCAAGATCGTGCCACTGCACTCTGGCCTGGGTGACAGAGCAAGACTCTATCAAAAAACAAAAAATAAAAGAATGCAATGTAAAACTATGCATAAAACCAATAATGATAACAAAGAGACAGATTGGAAAATTATTATGATATCTTATGAGACTTAAAATACTATTTTCTTATGTTTTTTGACTTATAGAATAAGAATCAGTCAGAATTGGATTGAGTTTTTTAAGCATTACTTGCATTACGCACCTTCCTTGTTTCTCAATTTCTTGCTGCAAAAGAGAATAATGATATCTACTTCCTGATAGTATTGTAAAGAGTCAGTGAGAAAATCCTAATAATATCATAGTATAATGAATAAATATTAATATTACTTTCCTATTAACACCTACCATTGCACTCAAGAGGCTATGATCATAAATTGCTGGTACATCTACAAGCACTAGCCACATCTCCCTCGCTGTCCTGTGCTTCTCTGCAATTTACTCAATGAAGTGTAAGGAGAGCTGCTCTAAGTGAATATCTGCTGTCAATCTTCTCCGTGAAGTCTGAGCAATGCTTCTATCTCAGGTTAAAATTTTCTACCCCATCGGCATTTAGAGCTACATAGCACTCAACGACTGGTTGGGACAGAAGTGGTACACGGGTTCATTTTGAAGAACTCCTTTTGTTAGGGTTCCCGCAGGAAAGCAATTTTTCTTTGGCCACCAATACTTTCAAAACCTTCCAGAAACTCATGTGGCAGAAACTCTACAAAGCACTCATGTCAGCTGAGAGGATGTTACTGTGAAACATGGACTTTTTTTTTTTCCTCCAGAATAGTGTTCCCTGCCTTTCTATTGTCGTTCCTCTTTTCATTTCCTATCATAAGAGTTAGGAGGAAGAGTGGTAAAATAGTGTCATCTCTAGTCATCTCTTGTTAAACATTGCTTTCTTCCTGCATATGTCAGAATGACCCGAGGCACAGGTAGCAAATGTGGTTATCAAAACCACGAAGCAAATGTTTCTCTGTTTTTAAAACATTCTGACCACAAGAGTAGTCATTATCTTCACTCCCCTTGGTGAAAACTTGCCCTGAAAGCAAATAATTTCAAAAAGGCTCAAAGAACGAACATAAACAACACAATTTTGAGCAGAAAAAGAAATGGCAATGTGATAAAATCATTTACTGATGACAGAAATTATTGCTTAGAGTGAAGTTTACAGTATGGAATTTGAATTGGACTTTGAACTCACATTTTTGTGACCTTGTGATTAATCACCACAAATGGATCTTTGTTTCATAACCATTTAATCAGTGAGTTTCTTCCCTAGAGAGAGACTTTATTTTCAGTAAGAGAGTATCTCTTAATCGGCTCAGCTTAATACATCCTCATGTATATTCGACATCAACTTTTCATTTGGTAAAAAGTACTTGCAGGCTTGGGAATCAGAAAACTCTGTTTCAGAATTCATGTTGATGATCATGAGTTATAGCAATTTAGGTGCTCTCTCTGAGTCTTGAAAGGTCTTTCTACCATGATAAACTTTGTACAAACAAATTATTAAATGAAAAGAGGAGAAGTTTCGATAGGATTTTGAAGCAATGATAATTGAGGTCAGATTCACACTTGTTTCTAGTATCTCCCTAAGAAACCCTTAGATGCTCTCTGAGGAAAGCAGTCTGAAAAACAATGATTTCCTTAAATTCAATCCCTTTTATAAAAGGCTAGAAAATACCCCCTCCCCCAAGATATACACATCTTAATTCCTGGAACCGGTAAATGTTATCTTATTTGAAAAAAAAGGGTCTTTGCAGATGTGATTAAGCTAAGGATCTTGAGAAGAGAAAATTAACATAGCAAAGTCATTCCCGCATTTTATACAAGACTAGACTGTCAGAATTGTGGTATGTTTCTTCCCTGAAAATACTTTCATCTTCCATCTTCACTGAGCATTTGAACAACAACAACAATCTGAATTACAGTAGTCTTACTATCTTCTGTATCAGAGAACAGTGGACACAATATATACTATTAATCATAAGGGGACTTATCACATTTTAAAAACACAGCAGGCTGGGCGTGGTGGCTCATGCCTGTAATCCCAACACTTTGGGAGGCCAAGGAGGGTGGATCACCTGAGGTCAGGAGGTCAAGACCAGCCTGGCCAACATGGCAAAACTGTCTCTACTAAAAATACAAAAAATTAGCCATGCATGGTGGCGGGTGCCTGTAATCCCAGCTACTTGGGAGACTGAGGCAGGAGAATTGCTTGAACCCAGGAGGCAAAGGTTGTAGTGGGCCGAGATCGCACCATTGCACTCCAGCCTGGGCAACAAGAGTGAAACTCTGTCTCAAAAAAATAAATAAATAAAAAATAAAAATAAAGTCCGGGCGTGGTGGCCCACGCTTGTAATCCCAGCACTTTGGGAGGCCGAGGTGGGTGGATCATGAGGTCAAGAGATCAAGACCATCCTGGCCAACATGGTGAAACCCCATCTCTACTAAAAATACAAAAATTAGCTGGGTGTGGTGGCGCACGCCTGTAGCCCCAGCTACTCAGGAGGCTGAGGCAGGAGGATCGCTTGAACTTGGAAGGCAGAGGTTGCAGTGAGCCGAGATCATGCCACTGCACTCCACCCTAGCGACAGAGCAAGACTCCGTCTCAAAAATAAAATAAAATGAAAATAAAAGCACAACAAAACAAAAAAGCTGGCTTAAGAATTGTTGGAAAGCCTGAAGACATAGGTTCCTAGCTGAGCTTCTAGTAATGACTTCACAAGCAACAATGTAGAAGGAGTTTACTGAAGGAGCTGCTGTCCCTGAATGAGGAAGCTGCAGAATGAGAAAGTTATCTGCTGAATGAATCCCTGACATGGCTACCAGCTCCATAAACATATGTCTTCTGGACCATAATATGTAACAGAAAAGAATTAATGTCTCCTTCCCTGCCTCTTTACCTGACTTGTCCCAGATCAAATTTAAGTCAGGCTTATTCGATTGGCAGAACCTAAACTAACAGAGTTTCCCCCTCTGTCTGGGAATATAGGAAATGTAGTTTTAAACTTTCCCACCATTGCTTGCTTGAAGATGGATCAAATGTAATTTAAGCTAGTTGATTATCAGTATCTACCACCCTGTCTGAAGGGAAATATATTAAATATGATTATACAGCTTCTGTATTTGATTCGAGGGAGCCACAGAAATTTTAAGTGTCTTTGGAGGTTAAATTCTCATCCCAGAAACACTTCGGTATAAACAAGAAATTTGACTTCAACAAGACTGGCCTAAACAGTGGAAAAATGAGATAGTGAATGAATATAGAGGCCCTATAATATGTAGGCTTTAGGTAAGGCATCTTATTTAATTTTTATAACATCCATATGGGATGGGAATTCTGAGGCTTGGAGAAGTGTCACAATCTTTCAACATTAAAAAACAAAATTCCTACTCACTCCATTTTACAACATCTCAGGCCTCTTGACACTCTGGCACCTTAGCTCACCTATTTTGGTGAAGTTATAAAAGCATATGTGTGACACCCTCACATTTATTTCACTCTTGCTGTACTCAATAGCTCAATAACATGGGGGTAAAATTGCACATAGTATGTAATATGCCATTTTGCAAAATCCCTGAACGAAACAACTGAATATAGAAATGTACATGTACTCCCAAATGCCCACAAGAGAATCTTCAGAAAGGTAAATTTCCCATAAAATCATGTCATTTGTTCTGAAAAAATTAGTAGTTGAAAAGCAAAGCTGAAAAAGACAAGAGCTGAAGTCGAGTCACTTGAAAGCTTATGTGAGAAAAGAAGATTTGCCCCAGAAACTCAGAAAGTAGAAAGTATATTAGATGAAAATATGTGAAAATGTGTCAAGAAATATTCATCACCAGGCTGGGCGCAGTGGCTCATGCCTGTAATCCCAGCACTTTGGGAAGCTGAGGTGGGTGGATCATTTGAGGTCAGAAGTTCGAGTCCAGCCTGATCAACATGGTGAAACCCCGTCTCTACTAAAAATACAAAAAAATTAGTGGGGCATGGTGGTGCATGCCTGTAGTCTCTGCTACTCAGGAGGCAGGAGAATGGCTTGAACCCAGGAGGCGGAGGTTACAGTGAGCTGACATTGCACCGCTGCACTCCATCCTGGGCAAGGCAGTGAGACTCCATCAAAAAAGGAAAGAAAGAAAGAAAGAGAGAGAGAGAGAGAGAGAGAAAGAGAGAGAGAGAGAGAGAGAAAGAGAGAGAGAGAGAGAGAAAGAAAGAAAGACAGAAAGAAGGAAAGAAGGAAATGAAAGAAAGAAGGAAGGAAGGAAGGAAGGAAGGAAGGAAGGGAGAGAGAGAGAGAGAAAGAAAGAGGAAGGAAGGAAGGAAGGAAGGAAGGAAGGAAGGAAGGAAGGAAGGAAGGAAGGAAGGAAGGAAGGAAGGGACAGAAAGATCCATCACCTGAGTAACAATTTTATGCATATTTCTGTGTGTCCCTCATTTATAAGTACAGGTTAGGGTAACAACCCTAGGCTATACTAAGAGAAGGCCACTTAAGACCTGCGTATCTCCAAAGTGGAAGGACCTCTGGGTATGAAGTGAGTGACCTCCCACACCAGTGCTGAGAGGTGTTCTTCGAAAGGGATTCCATGGTAAAATTAGTTAAGGAAATGCTACTTAATCCACTCAGTTTCTTAAAGAGCTGCCACTCACATTCCCACAGGACTTCTTAGATCCTTTAAAATCGAAGTGTGTGCACATACTTAACAAAGTTTTTCTCAAATCTATTGACCAGTGAACCATTTGTGGATGTGGATGTGTGTGCACATGTGTGCATGTGTATGTGTGTCATGTATCTGAATCTATATCTACATAATACTTGTTCACGTTCTGTAGATATGAAGACACTAAAGTAAAAATTCTGACCTGACTCACCCTCCAACTCCATCAATTAACAGACAACACTAGATATGGTATAGGGAAGCGCCTCACAGGGGATATACTGCAAAAAGCACATGGAAGCAAATGGCACAGCCCCAGCTAAGGCCAGGTAGGAAGCAATCATATATATACCTAAAGGAAAAATATGATTTTGAGTATTCTTTGAGAAAAACAGTTAGGGTCTTCTACCCTAGATTGAACCCTCAGTAAAAGCACTTACTTAGACCTACAGAAATTTCAAAATGTATAACAATTAGCAAGTGATACAATTTATGTTCCACATTCTGGATAACATTGACAAAGTAATTTTATAAAAGATTAATATTAATCTCAGATGAATACTATTTATAGGACTTGGTGGATCCATAATAAATTATTCTGAATTGAGCCGGGCATGGTGGCTCATGCCTGTAATCCCAGCATTTTGGGAGGCTGAGGTGGGCAGATCACAAGGTCAGGAGTTCAAGATCAGCCTGGCCAATATGGTGAAACACCGTTTCTACCAAAAAAAAAAAATTACAAAAAAATTATCTGGGCATGGTGGTGCATGCCTGTAATCCCAGCTACTAGGAAGGCTGAGGTAGGAGAACTGCTTGAACCCAGGAGCCGGAGGTTGCTGTGAGCTGAGATGGCACCACTACACTCCAGCCTGAGCGACAGAGCGAGACTCCATCAAAAAAATAAATAAATAAATAATTCTGAATTAATGAAACAGACATTGTATATTTGTTAGGTTTCACTTAAATGTGGTGAATATGAGTGTAAATAATAATTTATTAGGCAATGCAACACACAAATAGAACCAAATGATATTGTATTGTCTTAGATACATTTCAAATTTACAATATTTTACTTTTAAAAAGCACCCACCTTTAAAGAAACAATCATCAGAGGATAAAACTACACAAAGCTCACCTTTTCAAACAGCTAACTTAGGACTCTTTTTCTTTTTTTCTTTTACTGCAGTCTAGACTTTTTTATTTTCAATTCCTAATATACATTTATTATTTTAAAAATTGTTGTTCATATCCCTTTTTACCTATATTTTCCCTCCTTAGCATTTTCCCCTTCTATCGCTCAAAATACCTGGACTAATCTCTCCCGCCTACTTCCTCAGTTCATCTCAGTGCTGTGGGAGATAAGATTAGAGGCCTTGATCCCCCTGCTGTTAGAACAAGACCTCAATCTCTCACTGTCTCTGTTTAATCAGGTCCCTATTTTAGCTGCCACAAAGCTGTCAACAAAAGAAAATAAGCTGTCCCCCATCAAGGGGTTAAATTGGATTTCACAGTGTGCAAAGGCTGTTCTGAACAAAATTCCACCTGCACCCTCTGTCAGGCAAATTACTTCTGACTTTTAATTTATTTCTCCAGGAAATGGAAAGGTATGGCATAACCAAAGTCAACAGGGAATAAAGTACAAGGTATAATCAGGTGCTCACCAATAGCAGGCCCCCTTCGCTGTCAGCTTTAATAGGTTCTCAGAACACATAATTTATAGAATGCACGACATGTCCTCTCTGTTCTGAGTTTTGTTTTGGACTTGTCTAGTTAATGGTCCCAACAAGTGACAACTGATGTTTGCTTGATGTAACAGTGCCTGGAAGATATGTACATCGTACATTGAGTTTAAGTCTGAGAGGTTGCAAAATAAGAATAGTAATTGAACTCTTGGGCTCTTGGCTTCTTAATGCATAATACCTATACTGGAGAAGAAATCTGATTCAGATGATGGTGATATTCATTTTGGATGATTGTGGATGTCAAGTATAGGGGTGCATGTTGAAAACCAAAAAAAATATATTTTTCAGATGAGGTTACCATATTGTGGCCAAATCACGTTAGCAGCAAATCATTAAATAATTCAAATAATACAGTTTAATATATTACCTTTTTCAAAATTTAACTAAATATAAAAGTATGTGATTTAATTTCACAAAATCAATTTTAAGGGATGGAGTGAATTTATGTGAATTAATAACTGCAAGTACATATTGCTTTGGGGGAAATGGCAGGCATTTTTGTCTAAGAAATTAAAAGTCAAAAATTACAAAGGTACAGGTTTTGTATGTGTGCAGGGAATGCCTCTTCAATTAAGGAAAAAAGAAATAATGAGGATAATTTTATTTTCATTATAAATTAAGAGCTAGTGTAAATTCAGATACATGACACATACATACATGCACACATGTGCACACACACATCCACATCCACAATTATAAAATTTGTAGGCAGTTTTTTCGTTTTGTTTTCTGATCTTATTTGATTCAAACTTGCTTTGATTTTCATATACCCCAAAAGAGTTTCAGTCCTTCTTTGATTGTAAAATACTGTTGATTAATCTTATATTTTGATTAAGCATTTGAATGGTGAACAGGAGGATATTTATTGGATGGAAAATTAGGAGAGGGTTGTTAGGCAGTAATAATGTTTTCCAGCTGTATATAAATAAAACATATTGGGTTCACCTAATAGAATTGACTTAGAAAAATTTTTTATATTTATAATGGTTTCATTGGTTATTTAAATCAACCTTGGCAAACCAACTGTAGATTATGGACTTCAAGACAATATGGGTTTTAAATGAGGATCTGGTTATATAATTAGAAAATCCATATTCATTTTTATAAATCAGGACTTGTCCATGGTATTCTAAACCTGGAAAGTTACCTCTGTGACTTTCTGTGAAAGACTTATTGGCTTGAATCACTCATGGAATACATAAATTGACTACATTAAAAAAAATTGTAGAGAGCTCTCATCTTAAACAGCTATCTTATTGGTACCTATAAAAATATACAGCAGAAATATAACCATAAAAACTCCCTTGGCAAGATTTTCTTTAAAGCAGAAATCAGATCTAAAACAAGTTAAAATCCTTTGCATGCTCAAACTACTAGCTCTGGATCCCCTGCATATCTGCAATGAAGGCCACTCCAGCTTGTACTCCAGTAGCTAAGATTCTACACTTCCACTGCTGCAGCCTGGGTTTGATTCCTGGTCAGGGAATTAGTCCCCTGAAGACGAAAATCCTTTAACTCAGGATAAAAATGAAACACTTACAAGAATTGGTTCGAATTATTTATTTTCAATTTATATTGTTTGCCTCTTGACTTTTTGGGGTACTCATGTGTTATTGATCCTTTGCCTCCAATGCACAGTGGTTGTTTTTCCTGTTCATCTCTAAGTCTTGTTTTTTTTTTTCTTTAGAAGTTTTTGGGGATGGCTCTGGATCCTGTGAAGACTACTTCTTTGTACCTCTTTGGAGACATCTCATGTGTTCTTGGTTAAGTCAAAAAAACTTAATTTTGTTTCTGAGTCACTAGGTAGATACCTTTGGTTTAACAAAAAGAAAGTTCAAAAGCTAGGAATATTGACGGTTTGTTTAGGCTGCGTAAGAATAGTAAGAGATGCAAAGTTTTGTGGGTTTTTTTGAAGTTGTTGTTTTAAGGGCTCTATGATCAGAAGTCAGCTTAATTAAAAGCTGATATTATTAAAAGCCAATATATATATTTATATGAAATCTTTTATACACACACACACTCACAGCCTGAAGTATATATATACACACACATATATATATACACGTGTGTGTTTATATGTTTGGTTTCTTTGTTTCCTTTCTTGACATGTTTTTGCTCAAAAAACTGTATTGCGTTGGTCTTTTGGGGAAGCTTATGATCTTCCCAAACTGGTTCCGCCAAGACTTATTCTTCCATTTGCTTCTGCTCCTCCTTCGTACCACCTATGACCTTCCATTCAGTTCTTTTAAATCATTAATATTTTCCCTTTTAAGCCTCTACTTTTTTTTTCCATTGGTAGTCAGTGGATAAATACTAAGAAAGGACATCCCAGGTATTTCTTTGCATATTTAGATAAGAAAAGCCTCGGATTTCTGACTGAGTCAAACAGAGACTAATCATAAATGGCAATTTGGTATGGGAAAAGTCATTAGCTAGGTTGGTCAGTGAGGAATCTCAGATCCAGGATTACAGCTTTTTTTTTTTTTTTTTTTTTTTTGAGACGGAGTCGCTCTGTCGCCCAGGCTGGAGTGCAGTGGTGGGATCTCGGCTCACTGCAAGCTCCGCCTCCCGGGTTCACGCCATTCTCCCGCCTCAGCCTCCTGAGTAGCTGGGACTACAGGCACCCGCCACCATGCCAGGCTAATTTTTTGTATTTTTAGTAGAGATGGGGTTTCACCACGTTAGCCAGGATGGTCTCTATCTCCTGACCTCGTGATCCGCCTGCCTTGGCCTCCCAAAGTACTGGGATTACAGTGCCGTTTGGTCATTTGGAGGCTGTGGAAACACCTCCCATCAGGAAAAGAAAACCTATAGGGGATGAGCTAATCACAGAGAGGGCTGGTTGTCACCAGCCTCAGGGGAACGTCCTTGCAGCGAGGCATTACAGACTTTCGGAGCATTACAGAGCCCAGCTCGTGGCATTTCCCTCTTGAGCTTTTGCCTCCGCTTTGGGATACCTGGGATTCAGTTCAGGAATGGAATCCTTGATTTATGGAGATCCAGGTGTCTCACTTTACAGCTGTACCTGCCTTTTACATGTGTGAGTACTGGGCCTGAGAAGCTTCAAACGCTTCATCGGCCCTATTTATTTATTTGTTCCTCCTGACTTCAGTGGTACAGTTGAAAAATGGAGACTAAACTGAAAGCTGCCTATCTAACTAAAATTGATATTCATATAAAATCCTATTGTAAATTCTTATTATTTTGTGTTGCTGTGGCATCCCTTTTTAATCATCTTCTGACACACCCAACTCCTTCTTGTGAAAACTTACAGTGTCGGGCCGGGTGATGTGGCTCACGCCTGTAATCCCAGCACCTTGGGAGGCTGAGGCGGGCAGATCACAAGGTCAGGGGATCGAGATCATCCTGGCTAACACGGTGAAACCCCGTCTCTACTTAAACAACAACAACAAAAAATTAGCCGGGCACGGTGGCACGTGCCTGTAGTCCCAGCTACTTGGGTGGCTGAGGCAGGAGAATCGCTTGAACCCGGGGGGAGGAGGTTGCAGTGAGCTGAGACCACGCCACTGCACTCTAGCCTGGGTAACAAAGCGAGACTCCGCCTCAAAAAAAAAAAAAAATTAGCTGGGCATGGTGGCTTTCACCTGTAGTCTAAGCTGCTGAGGAGGCTGAGGTGGGAGGATTGCTTGAGCCTGGGCAGCCAAGGCTGCAGTGAGCTGTGATTGTGGCACTGTACTCCAATCTGGGTAACAGAGCAAGACCCTGTCTCTTAAAAAAAAAAAAATTGGCCGGGCACGGTGGCTCACGCCTGTAATCCCAGCACTTTGGGAGGCTGAGGTGGGCAGATCACAAGATCAAGAGATCGAGACCATCCTGGCTAACATGGTGAAACCCCATCTCTACTAAAACTACAAAAATTTAGCCAGGTGCGGTGGCATGCACTTGTAGTCCCAGCTACTCAGGAGGCTGAGGCAGGAGAATCGCTTGAACCCGGGGGGCGGAGGTTGCAGTGAGCCGAGATCGTGCCACTCCACTCCAGCCTCCCCGACAGAGCAAGATTCGAGAGTCCCTCTCAAAAGAAACAAAACAAAACAAAAAAAACTTAAGTGTCTCTCTGTGCTTTCAGAAGTAGATTTGCTCTCCCTAATTTTCTCTAAAACTCAAGAGCTTCTAGTATGTGCACCAGATTAACTTTGTGCCATTTAAAGTCATAGTTTGAATCCAACTGTCATTTTAAGCTAGTGAGTTTTACTTGTTTTGTGGCTAAAATTGTAAAACCAAAGTGATGAAATTTATATTTCTATTTGTATTTTTATGTATACATGTGTACCTGTCTGTGTTTGTGTATCATCTACAGGGGAACAAATTGACTTATAAATAAATGAGCACTCATAAATTAATAAGGCCAAGTGCTTTTCAAGTTCACATAACTTTAGTAATCCTTAGTAAACAAAGGTGGTTTTTAAATTGTTTGTAAAACAAAATGAAAATGTCTTCAGAATTTAATTTAGACATTTTTGCCTAGGGCAACTGGTCAGACAGGTTTATGCAATCTTTGATAGATATTAAGGTGATAAAACTGTCATTTCTATAATACTTGCTTGATTTACCTGTAAGGTAAAGTTTTGAGGTCTGGCATCTGGGCTCCCCAAAAGTCCTGCACATATTTTACTATAAGCTTGTGTCTTTGGTTTTGAGCCTCTAGATTGTGAGCTCTAGACGGGGTCCATGGTGAGGCCTGGGGACATACATGTGTCCACAGTGCCTTTGCCACAAGCTGCAGGGCAGAGCCAAGCCTCATACATGGCCCCATCCTCCCTGGCCCAGCTCTACCTCCTGGCCATATGGGAAGGGCTGGATCCTTCACACATCTTCTCACAGCTCTGCCCTCTATCCTGGGGTCTACACCTAGTGGGTAAATCTAGGACACAGATAAGCCCTGTCCTTCATAGCTACCCTGGGTGTTATGTGGAAACCCAGGACAATTGGAGAAGACACTGGGGAGGGTACCTGTGTCCAGTATCTCACAGGCTTTGCTTAAGATAAGACTGGTGAATACAGGATTAGCCTGGTTTTGCTTTTTCAAAAGAGAAACATAATATAATTTAAATGGCTAGCTTTATTTTTCATGAACAATTCAAATCTAATTGTTAAAAATGAGTAAATTAGATAAATCTAAACAAAATAAACTTTTTAGTAATAATTACGTTTCATTATCAGTTTACTTAAAAGTTTTCAAATCTCTTTGATAACTGGTACACTTAGAGTTAGGCTTAGCTAAATTAAATGATGGATATTCATTTAATATCTAGATTATTTCCAAATCTAACATAATGCTAAAACAACAATGACTAAATGAGTTTAAGCTTACATACTTTTGTCTTATTTTAAAGAAAAAGATATATGAATTTGTTGGTAAATATGATCTGTTTCACATTGAAAAAATTGTTCTACAAACAAGCCTATGCTTCCAGAAATTATAAAATATGTATTCATAAAATGTTTTGGTATATAACAATTAAAATTTCTTACTTCCTATGTTTTTACTGAAAATTAAGGTTATAAAGAGTTACAACTGGCCGGGTGTGGTGGCTCATGCCTGTAATCCCAACACTTTTGGCTGGCGGATCACCTGAGGTCAGGAGTTCGAGACCAGCCTGGCCAACATGGTGAAACCCTACCTCTACTAAAAATACAAAACTTAGCTGGATGTGGTGGCGGGCACCTGTAATCCCAGCTACTGGGGAGGCTGAGGCAGGACAATTGCTTGAACCTAGGAGGCGGAGGTTACAGTGAGCCGAGATTGCACCATTGCACTCCAGCCTAGGTGACAGAGTAAGAGAGTAAGATTCAGTCTAAAAAAAAAAAAAAAAAAGAAAAAAAAGAGTTAAAACTATAGTTAATATATGTAATTACAAGTGCTAAAATTAAGAGAAACAATTTCACATGCTGAGTACCAAAAACAAACAAACAAACAGAAGACACGTTTTTGATGAAAAATGTTTTAAGGAAGTCATGAAGAAGTGGATTTTGTTGAAAGAAAATAAATTTTGTTTAGTTTGGGAGTTATCTAGATGTTGTTTCAAAATTTTAAAAAGGCAGGCAAAAGTAGTGGATATAAAAAGCTACGAAATTTTTAAAAATTTTAAGTGGTTATGAAAGTTTATGGGTATGTTTGTGTGGTCAATGCTGAATGCTATTAGATAGATTTGTTTATAAAATTTTGTTAAAATTAGCTTTAGTATTAACGACACATTTCTACAAAAGTTAACTTTGTTTTTTTCTTTTGAACAAGATTTTTGTGTAATATTAATATAAGATAGCAAAATATTTTATTCACCTTTGAGTGAACTGCAAAAGGGGAAGGTTGAGAAAGAGGAGAGATTTTGTATGTCTCACATTGTCTTTATTAGGCCTTTTGATTGCTTGGAAAATTTAGTTTTCTATCAGTGAACAAAGGTTTTTGATTTTTAAAATGTTTTACTTATCACTTTGGCTAAATGAATGACTATTAATTTACAGTGACCTATAATCTTTTTTTGATCAAGTGTTATAAACCTTTGAAATATTTGACAATCTTCCCCAAATCAAATTTTGTATTCTAAATTAAGTCTTTATGACTTCAAACTAACTTTGGGAAAAATGCAGAGAAACCCTGAAAACATCTGAAAGAAAGATAATAAACCTAATCAGGCTTATTTAATATGTTAAATAATATAGAAGACATTAGCAAATAAAAAATGATGCTTAACTTTCTCTGAGTTATATTTGTATAAATGTATTATTGGTATGCACCCCAAAGTTGACTATGATTCCTAAAAATCTGATATATTAAATTGTTGTAACAGAAAATAACCAAATTTCCTTGTCAGTTCCATCTTTAACTACGGCCATTGTAAGCCTTGTTCTCCACAGTTAAGAGCTTTAATTCTGATGTTTTTTCTCAAAAATCTTTGCAAGCAACTATAATTCTAAAGTATTGTGTTTTCATGTTTCCTAAAAAAAGTTAAAAAGATTCTGACAGGTACTCTGAAATACAGACTTCTGCTGATGACTGAAATTATTCAATTAAACAGGGTAAGAATTTCAAAAGCTCCAATAGAAGAAAAATTAGATTCATAAAACTGCTAACCAAACATCAAGCAGAACAAGAATTAATCACATGGGACTGAACTGATGAACAATTATGATTTTTTATAACTTTTTTTTGTTTGAAACACTGCTGATCATGTTATAAGAGTTATTAAGAAATTATTTTGGGCACATAGAGAAGAAAAAGGGTCCTTGGGGAGTTTTTGTTTCTTTTAAAGCAGCTCCAGAAACGTTTCTTGTCTAGCAGGAAAGTCCTGGCTCTTAGAGGTAGGCGGACAAGCTTTGATATGCAAATGCGGCCATTAAAAACTGGTTCCACCCAAACATGGCAATTCCTGCCATCTTTTCCCTTCTTCCCTAATGTGCCTGGCAACATGGCCACCTCCACATATCCCCACGTGTGTAAAACATCATGGTGCCCTGCAATTGCATATTAAAAGGCCAGGGTGAGAGGGCCAGTTTCTTCGCCTCTACGTGAATGACATGCCTGAGCAAACCAAACCCCTGAGCCCTACGCAAATCAAACACCACCTCCTTCAGCCTCCTCATATAACTGGCTGTTTGCCATTGCACTGGGGGTTTCCTCTCTCAACTTGGAGCCCCCCGCCCTCTGTCTCTGTACAGGGGAGCTTCTTCCTTCTTTCTTGCGTTTTAAACTCTCCGCTCCTTCAAATCATTCCATGTATATCCATGTCGTTTTATCTAAATCAGCCCAAAACCAAGGACGCTGGTGTTCCTCCAGTCACTGAAGCCTTATCAATAATTTTTATATTCTGTTTTCCAGAGTACAAAAAGCTTTTTTTCTTTTAAGCTATTTATAGCTTACAGCAATTGGGTAAACTATACTTTTCTGAACAAAACTGAAACATTTGTCTTTCTTACTATTTGATTCCTCCAGAATTTGGATGATTCATGAGTATTATTATTTTATGGCAATACAGTTATTTGCATAAGCTCACTAAAGACCTGTTTTCTTTTGTAACAGGACTCAAGTGGAGATGCAAATTATTTTACCCAGACTTTGACTGGAATGTCATATCTTTAGACAGCTTTGAGAAGGTGGGGTTGACTTTATAAAGCCAACCTCATACCCTTGGAAAGACTTGCCTAGAACCTTATATACACAGTTCCCTCATAAAATTCCTAGCTTTGTGGTAAGTAAATAATGTCACTTTTTGACAGGCTGAGGAAACTCAAGAGAAGTTTTAGAGACCTCAAGAAGAGAGAAATTCACCCAATTCATACAGGTATTACCAGTCTGAAGGTGAGTCAAATTCTTGGCTTGGTTTCTTAGCCTTCAGTGGCTTTTAAAAGTCTAATCTTGGATTCCTTTTGAGAAGTTACAGCAAAGCCAATTTAAGTACAGCCTGTATGATAAGTCATTATCTGTAACTTTACAGAAAGTTACAGGTCAAGTTAATGCAAATTGTTTTACAAACAAGTTAGTCTTTCCATAAACATCTTTTATAGAACTGAGGGACCAGAGAAAGAAAAATTATGTTTCAGAAGAAAATTACTGCACACCTACTATTAGATTCTAGCCCTGTCCATAATGTTTGAGTTACGTTTATTATCTGGACTGAATCCTGAATTTGTAGCTTCCTCCAGTATCCGGCTGCAACTTGCCATACTGTTTCCCATTTCACCCCACTTTTCTGACTTAAAATCAGCAGAAATTAAAAATTCCTTTTTCCTGAAGCTCTGTAAACTGAAGTTAGACAGCTTGATAAATAGGAACCACAGAAATCACCACAATGGCTTTTGTATAGACAACCTTTATGCCAGGAAAATTTGTGAGATTGCCACTACCCTCCCTTCTCTAACTAAAGATGCTTCAGCTTAGATGCAGTTGTCTTTGCCACTGGCTGCCCTCCAGACTAGAGAAAAACTGTTTTATAGACTACTGTACATAGTAAACTTTGGTTTTTTTTTCCTGTTTTCATAAAAATACCTCTTATTAACAATCTTTTGGCCTGTATCATATATAGAGGCCTAGCTTTGAGACTATATCTGCAACACCATCTTATAGAATGAGAGGCAACTGTTTAATTGAACTGGCCTATTCCCGGAAATGAGAGACTGGTTTAACTGGGTGTGAAGAAAAGTGCTCAGATTCATTCTTTTCTATGTATTCATTCTCGTCCTAATCTATTTTGTTTTCTTCTTTCTCAGATACCTCGCCATTTAATTACCAACTTGATTTCTCTCTCCATAACTACCAATCCTATTTTAATATGTGAAACTGTCTAAAAATATTATTTGAAATGGGAAACTGAAGGAAATCAGAATATTTTATCCTGAAATATGGCTGAACTAAAGAAATGACACCGGCATCGTCTGACCTTCCTCCACTCCTGCCTCTTAACCCTTTATGTCTCCCAAAGCATGGGATGAGGCTTTTCTCTGAAGTTCTCTTGCCTACCTAAAATCTGGGCCCCCAAAGACAAATACAATTGCCTTTTATCCTCTCCCTAAAATCTCATTATCTATGGTAGAAAAGAAGACTGAGTAATGTAACCACACCAGGACAGAATTTTTCACATGATAATGTCTTCCTCTTGGGTTCATTCAAATTTCAGAGAGAATTACTTACAAGTTAATTTCTGCCTCCCAGGCCCATTCATCCTCTCTAAAAATCATTTACTGCCTCTCAAAAGAATTGTCTATTTTCCCCATCTTCCCCCTCCCCTACATGAAGGATAAACTTTTGTACCCCATTGGGTTATTGGATAATCACACTTCTGCAATTTTCCCACTGCTGTGTATGTTAAAATGAATTTAGTATGCTATTTATTTATTTATTTATTTATTTATTTATTTATGAGATAGGTCTCACTCTTTCATTCAGGCTGGAGTGTGGTGGCATAATCATAGTTCACTATAGCCTCAAACTCCTGAGCTCAAGTGATCCTCCTGCCTCAGCTACCCAAGTAGCTAGGAGTAGAGGTAGCAGCCACCACATACAGCTATTTTTTATTTTTTAGTTGAGATCGGCTCTCAACTATGTTCCCCAGGCTGATCTCAAACTCTTGGCCTCAAGTAATCCTCCTGCCTTGGCCTCCAAATGTGTGGGTATTGCAGGCATGAGCTACTACGCCTGGCGTATGCTTTTTCTTCTATTAATCTGCCCTTTATCAATTAATTTTCAGTGAAACTTCAGAAGGTGAAGGGGATGTTTTACTTAGCCCCTACAATACAAAATAAAAGCTAGTTACTTAGAAAATCTACTGGCATAGTCATTAGCAGTGCTCCCAAACTTTTTCTTATCAAGGAGCAAAGGGAAATTGGTCTATTTTTAAGGTGCACTGTGATAAATAGATGAGTTTTCTCTCAGCCAGGAAGGATGAGCCCTAGGGCATTGCCATTTGTCCCTGAAGACTGAATGAATCAATATTTTGTCACACCTCCCAGCTCACCAGTGTGCCATGGACTATGCCTTAATCACGATTAAGAGCTTTTTTATGAAAGACACACTTGTTGACAAATTTTCTCAGGCCCTGATACAAGTAAGGTCTACGTTTTCCTAAGACTGACTCTTATTATGGCCTTTAATGCAAGTCCATGGAACAAAGTCCCATTCAGTAAAAGCTATTCCATCATAGGCTCAAAGATTATGGCCCAGGTACCTGACTTTGTGATTATCTGGGTAGACCCAGAGAGAAAATTTACCATATCTAGAGAAATGGATAGAGCGCTTATCCTTCAGTCATGTTAAATCCCTTCTAGTTGATAAAACCTTGAGTAATCAGGAAATGAAGGAGACTAATAGATTCACCCTTGATGAAAATTGACACCCACATGCAAGTCTCAGGGAAAGTGAATTTTCCAGACAGGGAAAGTGAATTTTCCAGACAAAACCTGCTTGGGTAATGTAAATCAGGCCTGGGAGGCACCATTTGAATGCAAACAGACTTAAGGACTTAGTGCAATTGCTTTCTGTCATCTGGATCACAAATAAGATGAACAGATTTAAAGTGAAAGCCTTAGCTATAAACCTGGTGGAAAATAGAGCTAGATCATTGTACAAAGAAATGAAGAAACTTAAAGGGGGAAGCAAACATATATCCAATAGCTCTAAAATAGAAAGACCTTATCTTCCTCAGGGGCTTGTTCAGATACTCGGTATCTTTTTTATTCCATCATCACTATTAAACTCTATTCCTATAAACGACTTAGTTTTTAAATGTTCATAGGTGTTTTCTCATTTATTTTCCTACATAACCAAGAGGATTACGGTAGAAAGAACTCTATAGGCATATACTCCAAAGTTGTTTGGGGCACTGTAGTTTGTTTTTTGTGGCTTAGTGATTTTTAAATGCAAAACAGAAAATATCTGTTCATTGGATTGGTTATACATTTTATGGCCAAAAGTTTCTTCTTTGCACCATATTACTTGCAAGGTATCCTAACTTACCCTATCTAGATTTAAAAGACTAGAGATGTGTCATAAGTGGAGATATTCTACCATTGTCAAATTCAACATTAGCTTAAAGAATAAATTTGTTCTGTTGACAGAGGGAAAGCAAAAATAAACTGGTAGGTGAAATAGATCATCTTGGTAAGAAACCTAAGAACTGGTGGCAATTTCTGTGTCTAGGAAATAGGCAAAAAGGAAAAAGATAAGCAATAGTGAATATATTTATATTCCTCAAGTGAGAATAAGAAATGAAATTGTGGCCGGGCAAGGTGGCTCACGCCTGTAATCCCAGCACTTTGGGAGGCCGAGGCGGGCAGATCACGAGGTTAGGAGATCAAGACCATCCTGGCGAACACTGTGAAACCCTGTCTCTACTAAAAATACAAAAAAAAAAAATTAGCCGGGCGTGGTGGTGGGCGCTTGTAGTCCCAGGTACTAGGGAGGCTGAGGCAGGAGAATGGCATGAACCCAGGGGGCGGAGCTTGCAGTGAGCAGAGATCGCCCCACTGCACTCCAGCCTGGGCAACAGAGTGAGAGTCTGTCTCAAAAAAAAAAAAAAAAAAAGAAAGAAAAAAGAAAAAAGAAATGAAATTGTTTGGGGGTGTTTTCTTGTGTTTTTGTTTGCAAGTGGATTAAGTCATATGGAGATTTGATGGCTATAGTAACTGACAAGACCAGGAATTAAGGGTTTCCAGCATAACTGGATTGAGAACTCAAATTATAACATCAGTTCTTATTTGTTCTGCCTCTTAGGTTTGTCTTTCTTTGGTCATTTAAATCCCACCACTTCACGGGACCAAGATGCTCTGACTGTAGCCTTCCATATCTCAGGTTTATGACTGACTAGTGGAGAAAAGAAAAGCTCAAACAAAAACCCAAGGTTTTCTCTGACTTTTCCAATGATCTTAACTTAAATCCCATGCTTATGACATCTGAACCAATCTCTGTCAAGAGGATTGAATGCACTCAATGACTGAACCTAAGTTATAAGATTCACTCCTAGATGGAAGAAGTATGCATTCGTGTTGTGGAGAGCCATCACAGAGTAAGTGCGGTAGAGACGTGCACAAAAGGCTGTCACTAAACATAGTGTAAATGGATTTTGTCAGTCTAATAAGAGTAACAAAGAAATACAGCACCAAAAATAACAGCAAGAAGAACAGAAATAACAATTAACATTTACTGAGAGCATACTATACATCAGGCCTTATTATATACCTGGTTAGCTCATTTAATCTTCACAACAATAGGACATCTCACATGCTACAGAGCAGAAAGATAGGAAGCTAGCTCTCATGTTTCTTCTTACAAGGGTGCCAATTCCATCATGAAGAATTCACCCTCATGACATAATTACCTCTCAAAAGTTCCACCTCAAAATGCTATTACACTAGGGACTAGGTTTCAACATATGGATTTTGGGGGGGAACATTTAGTCCATAGCAATCTACTTCACCCAAAGCGAATGTCAGACATTCTTTCATGATTATGCTTAATGTGTTCCCTGAGATATACATGATCTGATATTTGGTTCATTCACCAAGATTTTTTCTACTCAATTTTAGCATTTAATTTGTGGGAGATACTTGTTGTTTAATGTGGTACAACATATATTTTAGATTTTTTTTTTGAGATGGAGTCTTGTTCTGTCCCCTAGGCTGGAGTGCAGTGGCGCAGTCTTGGCTCATTGCAACCTCTGCCTTCTGGGTTCAAGCGATTCTCTTGCCTTAGTCTCCTGAGTAGCTGGGATTACAGGTGCCCGCCACCATGCCAGGCTAATTTTTGTATTTTTAGTAGAGACGGGGTTTCACCATTTTGGCCAAGCTGGTCTTGAGCTCTTGACCTCGTGATCCACCTGCCTCGGCCTCCCAAAGTGCTGGAATTACAGGCGTGAGCCACTGAACCCGGTATTTTAGAATTTTATAATAATAATTTATATATTGATGTATATTTATGTGTTGCACACTGTACTGATGGATATACATTAAATTTTATCTTTTCATCTTTTCAACAACCTTATATTTCAAAGTTGACCTAACTCTCCTTCTGAAAATAGTTTCTTCCACTTTTGCTTTTTGTGACACCACATTTTTCTAGCCTCTTCTTTCTTCCCGACAGTTATTTTTTTGTATACAATAGCTAGTCCCTATCTTTCAAATTTCTAAATGTTAATGTCTTTGAGGTTCAGTTCTTTATCACATTTTTCCTTGTTTAATACTGTATTTAAATGACATATCATTCCCATGGCCTAAAATTCATGCTATAACTTTCAAATTTGTTCAAACTTACTCTTAACTCCTAATTTGGACCAAGAACTATTCTAGATAGATGTGCAACACTGATATGAGTCTGGGTGATGAGAAGTTGTCTTAGTCTGGTTTGTGTTGTTGCAACAGAATACCAGATATTTGACAATTTATAATAAACAGAAATTTATTTAGCTCACAGTTTTGGAACTGGGAATTCCAAGAGCATGGTGCCAGCATCTGGCAAGGGCCTTCATGCTGTGTCATCGTCATCCCATAATGAAAGGTGGAAGGGCAAGAGAGGACAAGAATAAGAGAACAAGAAATGACTAAACTTGTTTTCACAACAAAGCCACACTTAAAATAACCAACCCACCCCTACAAGAAAAACATTAATCCATTCATAAAGACAAAGCCCTGTTGACCTAATCACCGCTTGAAGGTGGCACTTTAAAAATGGGTACAGAAGATGCAGCCCTTCATGTTTAAAAAAAAAAAAAATTACGGGCCGGGAGCAGTGGCTCACGCCTGTAATCCCAGCACTTTGGGAGGCCAAGGTGGGTGGATCACGAGATCAGGAAATAAGACCATCCTGGCTAACACGGTGAAACCCTGTCTCTATTAAAAATGCAAAAAATTAGCCGGGCGTGGTGGCGGGCTCCTGTAGTCCCAGCTACTCCGGAGGCTGAGGCAGGAGAATGGCATGAATCCGGGAGGAAGAGCTTGCAGTGAGCTGAGACTGCGCCACTGCACTCCAGCCTGGGTGACAGAGCGAGACTCCGTCTCAAAAAAAAAAAAAAAAATTACTCCCAGAAATAGGGTAAGAAAGCACAAAGACTCTTGTAGCCACAGAGAGTTAGAAACAATCTTTGTGCTTACAGTGTCTCTAGCACCTCACAAATCTGTGGAGACTTCCAGCCACAGAACTGTTAATTCCACCTGGGATACTGGGTAGATCTTCTTGGGATTGGATTTTCCAGGACTAACCAGGCAACAAGAGTTAAGACAGCAAAAGCTTCTCATATATAGGACTTATTAAGAAAAGTTTTCCTGGTTGGGCACAGTGGCTCACACCTGTAGTCCTACCACTTTGGGAGGCCGAGGCAGGTGGAATGCCTGAGCTCAAGAGTTTGAGACCAGCCTAGGCAACATGGAAAAAGCCCATCCCTGCTAAAAATACCAAAAATTATCTGGGCATGGTGGCATGTGCCTGTAGTCTGAGCTACTCGGTAGGCTGATTCAGGAAAATTGCTTGAACCTGAGAGGTGGAGGTTTCAGTGAGCTAAGATCATGCCACTGCACTGCAGCCTGGGCAACAGAGTGAGACTCTGTCTCCAAAAAAAAAAAAAAAAAAAAAGAAAGAAGGAAAGAAAGAAAAATTATCCTGACAGCCTTGTCCATTAGGAACAAAGAATAAAAGAATATGGTGCCTTATATCTGAACTGTCTCAAGACTCCCAGTCCTTTCAGAGTGGCCACTGTATATGATGTGAAAATCATGCCCTCCAAATGGTGAAGACCAAGAAAGAGTGCTCCCACTTGGTCACAAGTCACCGCCTCAAGGACATAAAATGAGAAGGAATCTACAAAAAGACAGAGACAAAGGACAAAGTAGAGACTATTTTGGGGAGGGAAAGGATCAGACAATAAGAGTATTTATACCAAACATAGACCAGAGTCACTACACCTAAGACTAGTCATACAAATGCTTTTCTCTCATTACTCTCAAATTTGAAAAGGAAAAGCAGTGATTTTTATTATCTACCGCACTGGATTCCACAGAGAAGAGACCAGGATTGCTAAGAATTTCGTACCTTTGCCTGCTAGTCAAGTCCTGTATTCCTTTAACTGTGGCTTCCAGAAGAGCAGAGCAGTATTGGTTACTCTGCTGATAGCACCAAAACTCTGCGGGCCAAGAGAAAATGGTGCTTTTGCCCTCTGAATTTTCACTGAAAAATCACCTGACAAAAGGCAGACTAATAGGAGAAAAGGCATACAAAATTCATTTTAATGTGCATAACATGGAGAAATTGCAGGAGTCTTGAGGTTTGACTTTATTTCCTTTCTTCCTTCCTTCCTTCCTTCCTTCCTTCCCTCCTTCCCTCCCTTCCTCCCTCCCTCTTTCTTTTCTTTTCTTTTTTTCTTTCTCTTTCTTCCTTTCTCTTTCTTGGAGTCTTGCTCTGCCACCCAGGCTGGAGTGCTGTGGTGTGATCTCGGCTCACTGCAACCTCTGCCTCCAAGGTTCAAGCGATTCTCCTGCCTCAGCCTCCCAAGTAGCTGGGACTACAGGCACATGCCACCACACCCAGGTAATCTTTTGCATTTGTATTAGACACGAGGTTTCACTGTGTTAGCCATGATGGTCTCAATCTGACCTCATGATCTGCCCACCTCGGCCTCCCAAAGTGCTGTATTACAGACGTGAGCCACCAGGCCCGGGTTTTTTTTTTTTTTTTTTGAGAGGGAGTCTTGCTCTGTCCCCCAGACTGGAGTGCAATGGCATGGCATGATCTCAGCTCACTGCAACCTCCACTTAGCTGGTTCAAGCGACTCTCCCACCTCAGCCTCCCAAGTAGCTGGAAATACAGGTGTATGTGCCACCACGCCTGGCTAATTTTTGTATTTTTAGTAGAGACGGGGTTTCGCCATGTTGGCCAGGCTGGGAGATTTCACTTAAATCTATGTTTATTTTATGACTTTAGTTTGTGTGTTTACAGGTATGTGCAGGCATACCCTTTGTGAATGTGTGTTCGTGCATTTTCCTTTTTCTTTCTGCTTTGTGGTAAGTAATTCTGTTAGTCACTGTCAGTCAGAGACAAGGTGACATATGGGGTTAACAAAATATTAAAAAATACAAATATAATAGGATGTATACATGAACAAAACTGATTACTTATGAAACAAAAGAGTTCGAATTTCTTCTCAGGCCAATTTAACATATAGTAAAATTCTATTGTCTTTTCAAGTAAAGGCCAGTAGAAGGTGTTTTTCTCATAATAAAACTGAAAAAACATATGCAAAAAGTAAACTTTGGATTTTTTAATACAGGAACAAAGTATATTTCTATTGTTAAATTCAGTTAATCTCCTCAGTTAGTCAAACTTAAACAACATCACAGCTGAGAAGAGACGGTAAAGTAAATCAAATGAAAACAACAAAAACAAAACTCGGTTATTGAGCCAGAATTCCAGTGTTCCTTTGAGAATACAGTTACTGATTTTACAACATCAAAAAGGAGGGAGATACATTGGTTAAGGAAAACAACGTATCAGAACTTTATTTGCATGCCATTCACTCCATTGCTAACCACTCTGTGAAGTCTTATTATGCACATCTTACAAATGAAGCAACTGAGGCTTATAGAGTTTCAGTATTTTCTTTAGGAAAACAGCATGTTAAGTGTCATCGCCAGATGCAAACCAGAAGCAGTGTAGTTTCCACTACTAGAATTTGTCTTTAATAAGCCCATAAACAGTCTTAAAACACTTGACAAGTCTTTGTGGATGCCAGTTATAAATGTAACTGGTCATTTCCGTCTAGAGAAGATGGTAGGGCCAATTGTCCAGCGTGGAGCACGCCCCTCATCACAGAACAGACATTTGATCATCTGAGTCCTGAATCAGGTGGAAGAACAGAGAAGCAATAGAAATCCAAATATGGTGGAAAAGGGGGAAAGTGAATGTCTGCAAAAGTCGTATCTTCTGCTTTCCAACCATGCCCAGACATTATTTAGAAACCTGACTAGGAATCCTCTGCAATACTTATTGGTCTTTGTACAAGGTGTTCTCACTGTCTGGTTTGGTTTTAACTTAATTCCATTCTACTGGCTAAGAAATTACTCTACCTTCTATTTTCCTATGCTTATTCATTCAGCCATTGTTTATTGAGAATCTCCTATGTGCTTAGGTGGTCTCACCATTGTCTTTTATATATACTTCTGTCATAGAACTTAACCAATTGTTGACATATTTTTGTCTTCTTTTGTATGAGAGTTCGTTTCTTGGATAATTTTAATTCCTAGGGATTCAGCAATGTAGAAGACACAAATTCAGCCCTTGAGATATTTGGGGTGCTTGTTACTAGGCACTTAGGCAAGCTGATGATATGAATGGATGAATGAATGAACATTTAGATTAGCCAACTGGATACTTTTGGGAACTTAAAGAAGAAAAAGTTCACATGATGGTCTGGTGACCTATTACAATTATCTGATAAGAATAAGGGAAAGCCTTCAAAATATCCATTTGCACACATTTAAAATCAAGTGTTAAATGCTCACATAGGTGCTAGAGAAAACATAGTCAGTCTATTTGGATGCAGAAACTCTTCCTCATGTGAATAGGACATATTAGTAGTGGCAGGGCAGAAGAATCAATTCCTTTATTATTTAATGTGTGCAGTAATTGGGGCTCATTTTAATCTTCTGTGAAACTGTGAGACAGATTGATAGCTATTCAGTGCAGACATAGAAAATGGCTTTTGACTAAGCTACAATCTCTACAGAAGGATGAAGGAGCAGACTAGTGTCTAGGTATTGGTTTAAAGTTTGAGAATCACTTTAAGAATATTTGGGGAAATGCAGGTTACCAGGCCTACTACAGGGATTAAGCTTTAATAGATCTGCTTTATGAAGTTAGAATCTATGTATTTATGTTTTTATTTTATCAGATTCCTAGGCAACTGTAGCACCAATTTTGGGACGCATTTCTTCATGCATGAGGACCCATGAAGTGTGATTAGACTGATGAGTGCCCAGGGGACTGTTGAACTATGCCACTAAAGAAAAAAAAAAAAGATTTCCAAAAAGTATTTTTTCCAAAGAGTATTTTCCCTTTTCAATCTTGAGAAAGATCTGCAGAGCTTATTCTCTGCATTGCTAATGAAGGCAGTGCTTTATATTAAAGGTTCCCTGCTGTGGAGCTAGCAACGTCAGGACCAGCCTCAGCTTTTAAGTGTTAATGATCATCAGCCCTTCTTTCCCCAGAGGAGTGAAGCAAGTTTCTCTGTCCTCTTTAGGGTTTCTCAGCACCAGACTCCAGTGTGGGCCTGATATTCTGGGAACTGTCAGACAGCAGAGGCCTTCCTCTAAGGTGTAGATTTGTTCTCCAAAATCAGTCTCTCACCTTTCCTGTTTGCTGCATGTAATCCGGGGATTAATGATGGAATCCTTCTCCAAAGAAATGTCTTTCTGAAAATCTGTGAGTACATTTAGGGTGTGAGAGACTGATAGAAAGGCTTGTAGTGGGGTAGACTGGTTCAAAAAGGGATTGGCTAATGACTAGGTGTCTAACATTTGCTACTTGATACCTTCAAGTTTCCCCCTCTGTAAAATGAGAATAGTAAATCTGCCCTTAAAAAGTTAATTCTCATAATGTGCACATATACATTGATTGACTTTTACGGACCAAGCACACTGCTAGGAAGGGCTATATGTTTATTAACAAAGTGTGCTTGGATGGGCTGCCTGTTCATAAAGAAACAGTCAACATCTCTGCCTTTTGGAATTTGGGAAGAAGCCAAGGAGTGCTGATATAAACAGCCAGATGCCCAATTTCAAATTATGATAACTTTTGTGAAGTAAGAGATGCAATAAAAGATTATATCAAAGGGTAAAGGGCAAGATTGGAATACTTAGAATGGCAGAATCTTCCTGGGGAAGTAACTTGGGGGAACACAGTTAAGCAAACAAAGAGCTGGAGGAGGCATACAAAACAGAGGAAAACGTGAATAAGGTCCTGAGTTAGTGGGGACTTCACCAAGGAGAGAAAAGGAGAAAAGGCCAATGGCACCAGGAAAAAGCAATACGTTTGGAGTTTGGAGAGCTGAATGGCGGCACAATCATTAACGGCCTAAGGAGCCAGAGATAGGAATTTGGGTTTTATTCTAAATATAATGAAAAATTATTTAAAGGGAAAAGAATATTCCAATTATGAGAGTGACATTAAATATGACAGTTTCTCATATATAATAGGTATTCTATAAATAGTAGTTCTTCAGAAGTCATGATTCAGATTCCCAGTATAACTAAGTTTCCGTCCCTGAACATGACAAAACAACAGAATCACATTGGTTAGGGAACTCATCAAATTATGGACTGTCACATAAATTGGAACAGCCCAATCTTTACAGTACTCCAGTTCTCAAATCCGTGACTTGATCATATTTCCTACAAATGCTGAAATAAATAAAAGGGCATTGTTTCAAAATATAGAATGGGAAAATAGGTACTTAATGAATGTTGAGTGAAATAAAATATTTTTAAACAAAACATTTTTATATACAAAATCACTTTAAAGCCTATATGGAATGGAAAATTCCTAAATACCTTCTCTGTTAATTTCATGGTGGATATCATTAACCTAATGCTTGCTGATGAAGAGGGTATGCTTCAGGGTGGTTAAGTAACTTTTCCAATGACATCCAACTAGTGAATGAGAGCTGGGAAGACCAAGCAAGCCATATCACTGTTTCTTGTATTTACAAGTTTAAATTCCTAGACTGCAGAGTTCCTGTAGTTTTCATTTGAAATAGAAAACAATGCAAGTAGTAGAAAAGAGAGCAGGCTGACTAGGCAATTAAATGTAAAGTTACCAATAATTGATAGCAGGTAAAAAGATTATGCAAGTGAGCTGTGCGCTGTGGCTCATGCCTGCAATCCCAGCACTTTGGGAGGCCGAGGCGGGCAGATCACCTGAGGTCAAGAGTTCAAGACCAGCCTGGCCAACATGGTGAAACTCAGTCTCTACTAATAATACAAAAAAATTAGCCAAGCGTGGTGGTGCACACCTGTAATTCCAGCTACTCAGGAGGCTGAGAGGCTGAGGCAGGAGAATTGCTTGAACCAGGAGGCAGAGGTTGCAGTGAGCCGAGACTGGGCTATTGCACTCCAGCCTGGCTGACAAGAGCAAAACTCCCATCTCAAAAAAAGAAAAAAAAAAAGATTATGCAAGTGAAATATTTAGTATTTTGACTGGCCTAATGACAACAGAAGACAACAAAACCTCAACTCCCATGGGACTAAGAATGGGATTAAACCAAATCGCCTACATTTGAATAATAACAAAAATCTTACTTGGTTAAAAATTAGTAAGGCTATTCCAACTAGAAATTAAATCTAGTGGTATTTAGCATTTAAAATAGAATAAAAGGGCACCCTTACTCTTCAAATAATATCTAAACCAATCCCCCCTTTCAGTTCATGCTTCTGGATTTAACAAGGCAATCTTAATTTATCATCATAATGACTCACAACGATGATGTTAGTAACCATGCAGTGTGAATACATGGTGAAAGGCAGTTTAGAAATTGTAATACAAAGAAGAATGATGCATGAGATTTCTGAATAAGATGAAAAGGACAGCTGCTGTTGAATCAGAAGTCCTGGCTCTGCTGTATGCATGGCATAGGTCCTTGTTCAACTGAAAAGCAGTTGGCCTCAGTTTCTAGCTGCCCTTCCCCAACTATAAAATATGAATAACACTCACTTCCATAAGATAATGAAAATGAAAACACTTTTCAACACCATGATGGTGTTTGTTGCTACATTTAATGAATCTAAATTACTTATTTTTATTTATTTTTTATGTTTTTAGGAGCAGAGGTTTAATAGGCAAAAGAAAGAGAAAGGAGAAAGGAAAACAGCTCTCTCTCTAGTGAGAGAGAGGGGACTTCCGAGAGAAAAAAGGCCCTCTAAATCACTTTTTAAAAACAATTCCTTTAACAGGGATATGAAAAACCATGTAAAATACAAATGTCAGCAATAAATGTAGATGTTGGAGTCACATATCCTTCCTCCAAATAGTCAATTCTCTTCAAACGATTTGCTTATTGGTGTTACTGTTTTTTGTTTTTTATTTTTTCCCTCCCTTTTCTTTTTTCTTCCAATCACAGATATCAAAGATGTGTTTCTTCATGGAAGCCAGCAGGTGGCTCTCTGGTGTACTACTGCCAAAAACAAAAAACAAACCCCTCAAATCCCCAACTTTCTTATAATCAATCCACTGTGAAAATTTATAATAATCCCCAAAACGGACAGCTAGAAAGCTCACATACAATCATTACTAACATCACAACCCTCCTTTAGTGCACTAACTTCAAAGGTGAAAAACAGTAGTTTAATTTCTGTTCAAAACTCAACAAGCTAGAATGAATTTCTCACCATTCTGACAGCTTCGCATAGGGAGGTAATTTGTTTTTTTCCTCCTCCCTATAGTAAATAGTATCCATTAGAACAAACAAATGACAACAAGCAAATTCAACGAAGAACACAAACATGAATACCTAAAATGGCAGAGTTTATGTTTCTGGAGGACCAGTATTAATAAAGTAAATGACACGAGTTTAGTATTGATTTATTTAAACTCATTATTGTCCTTATAGCATTCATTTCATAAATCTCAAAACAACTTTGAGCCAAACTCTGCTGAAGTCATATTGTTATAGGAAAGGGGTCCCGATCCAGACTCCAAGAGAGGGTTCTTGAGTCTCATGCAAGAAAGAATTCATGGAAGCCCGCAGTGCGAAGGGAAAGCAAGTTTATTAAGAAAGTAAAGGAATAAAAGAATGGCTATTCCATAGACAGAGCAGCCCCGAGGGCTGCTGGTTGCCCATTTTTATGGTTATTTCTTGATTATATGCTAAACAAGGGGTGGATTATTCATGCCTCCCTTTTTTAGACCACATAGGGTAACTTCCTAAGGTTGCCATGGCATTTGGAAATTGCCATGGCGCTGATGGGAGTGTAGCAGTGAGGACGACCAGAGGTCACTGTCATTGCCATTTTGGTTTGAGTGGGTTTTGGCTGGCTCCTTTGCTGCAAGCTGTTTTATCAGCAAGGTCTTTGTGACCTGTATTTTGTGCTGACCTCCTATCTCATCCTGTGACTTAGAATGCCTTAACTGTCTGGGAATGCAGCCCAGTAGGCTTCAGCCTCATTTTACCCAGCTCCTATTTAAGATGGAGTTGCTCTGGTTCACACGCCACTGACAATTTTAATATACATTCAGTCAAACTTCTGGTCAGATATAATAGATTAGTGTGTAGTTTCTGATAACTAATCATTATCCCCAGGTTTCATAGGTATGCCATGCCATGCTCACTACTCAATTGAATATATTATACTCAGAATCAGGTTCGTGATTTACAAGATATTGATCTAGGGGAATAGATTATGATATTATACCATGGATCTCTGAATTTGAGGCACAAACTGCAGTTTGGATAAAGACTGTTTAAAAGACAGTTATGTATTTAGATTTTTAATCATTACTAGCTAGAACAGATTATCTCCAGCCACACATTTGTTTCTGCCAAAGGAACTCAGAGTTTACTGTAAATATGGTTTATTAGGAAAGAAATGCTACAATTTTGGGTGCTACTCAAGGCTGGTAACTTGAATGAATTAATTACTTATGGCTTTAAAGTTAATTCTTACTTGAGGCTTTATAATCATACATATTTTAACATCAAAAGCTTGATAGTAAAAACTAAAAATGATTTTTAAAAACTCTCACAGTATTCCAGATTTGAAATGGAGCAGGTTATTTGTGTGTTATTTTGTAAAGGAAGAAAATTAACTATCCTAGATATTAAGATAGATTCCCTTGGGGAAAAAAAAGAAAAAGGAAAGTAAATATGCAGATTTTGGCTTCCCATCTAGTTGTGGAAGTTACAGTGATATAGTTATGAAACCTGCTTTTTCTTTGTCTTTTTTTTTTTTTTTTTTTTGAGACGGAGTTTCACCATTGTTGCCCAGGCTGGAGTGCAGTGGCGCGATCTTGGCTCACCGCCATCTCTGCCTGCCGGGATCAAGCGATTCTCCTTCTTCAGCCTCCCGAGTAGCTGGGATTACAGGCATGCACCACCATGCCCGGCTAATTTTGTATTTTTAGTAGAGATAGGGTTTCTCCATATTGGTCAGGCTGGTCGCGAACTTCCTACCTCAGGTGATCCACCCGCCTCAGCCTCCCAAAGTGCTGGGATTACGGGCATGAGCCACCATGCCCGGCAAGACGAAACCTGGTTTTTTAAGATTCATAACCATGCTGTAGAATCAGCACATCAGATTCCCCACCCCGACCCGCTGCCACACACACAATTACTGACTCCTTTGCTCAGGACCGTCTGGCAATCTTTTTACACCATCCTTCTTATCAAGGCAGCTAAGAGTTACATTTACAGGCATGTACATCTGCAAACTCAGTCTTAATCAGTGACCAAAACTGTTACAGTAGGAAGTGTCAATTGAGACAAATGATGAGACAAGTCTCAATTATTTTAGGAGGTTTATTTGTCAGAGTTAAGGACGTGCACCTGTGACACTGCCTCAGGAGGTCCTGATGACATGTGCCCAAGGCAGTTGGGGCACAGCTAGGTTTTATTCATTTTAGGGACACATGATACATCAATCAATACATGTAAGAAGTATGTTGGTTCAGTACAGAAAGGCGGAGACAACTCAAAGCAGGGAGGGGCTTCCAGGTCACAGGTAGGTGAGAGAAAAATAGTTGCATTGTTTGAGTCTCTGCTAAGTCTTTCCAAAGGAGGCAATCAGAATTTCACTCACGTCCGTGTGAAGAGACCACCAAACAGGTTTTGTGTGAGCAAGAAGGCTGTTTACTTCACCTGGGTGCAGGTGGGCTGAGTCCGAAAAGAGAGTCAGCGAAGGGAGATAGGGGTGGGGCCGTTTTATAGGATTTGGGTAGGTAATGGAAAATTACAGTCAAAGGGGGTAGTTCTCTGGTGGTCAGGGGCGAGGGGACACAAGGTGCTCAGTGGGGGAGCTTTAGAGGCAGGATGAGCCAGGAGAAGGAATTTCACAATGTAATGTCATCAGTTAAGACAGGAACAGGCCATTTTCACTTCTTTTGTGATTCTTCAGTTACTTCAGGCCATCTGGATGTATATGTGCAGGTCACAGAGGATATGATGGCTTAGCTTGGGCTCAGAGGCCTGACACAGAACATGTATCCATTTCTCAGTAAGCAGAGGGATGACTTTGAACAGAATGGGTGGCAGGTTTGCCCTGAGTAGTTTCCAGCTTGGATCTTACTTTTAGCTTAGTAATTTTCGGGGCCCAAAGTATTTTCCTTTCACCTCACCTAGTCAGACATAAACAGGGCAGGAGAGGTCTCCACCCTCATCCCCCCGGATCCAGGAATATCAGGTGACCATCAGGTGATGGTCAGGTGGTTGTTAACTGTCTCTCTAAACTCTCTAAAATAATAATACGTGCAGATGGCCCCAGGGAAAGGCAGCCTCCACATAGAGAAAACCTGAAAGCGATGATCAACAGCTTCCTGATAAGATCTCTGGAGTTGGGGTGAGTGAACTCAAGCTTGCTGAGTAAGAGGCAAAATGGCAGAATTAAGCTAGTAAATGACCTCGTAGGGATATTCATTTGGTAAGGGAAGAACACCTCAAGTGAGCATGAGTACCGCTCCAATAAACACACTGAGTCCCAAGTGCTGCTAGGTCACTGCACACAAGGACGGCTGACCCCAAAAGAAGAATCAGGGGAGAAGTGACACACGACCTCAGAAGTATGCCATCACATAGAACCCCAAGTCAAAAGGTCAAAATGTGCGCTTGTTCTTCAAGTTGCTCGCTTGGCCTTCTTCCAAGTGTACTTTCCTTCCTTTTGTTCATTTCTGCCCTAAAGCTTTTTCATAAACTTTCACTCCTGCTCTAAAACTTGCCTTGGTCTCTCCTTCTGCCTTATGCCCCTCTTTCTTCTAAGGAGGTAAAAATTCAGGTTGCTGCAGACCCGTACGGATTCGCTGTTGGTAAAAAACCTTATTGCTACTCCGATTGTCAATAACAATTTTTTAAAAAGACAAATTTAAGAGCAAATTAAGTCTCCAGTGCCTCTGTTAAAATAATAAAGGGTGGAAGGTTGATTCAGGTGAGGCTGGATTGAGGAAGCTTCTGTGGGTCAAATTTGTTCGAACCAAAGAACAGTATATAACCAGATTTCTCCCTGCCACACAAACACACATACAAGCACATGCACGGGCACATACACACATGTCTTCTGAAATTTTAATTTTTTTTCACTTGCCTTGAGGGATTCTGCTCCTTAACTCAATTGTGTATTCATCTCCCTTCAATCGAAAATGCAAATGACATCCCAATTGACTGTGTAAAAAGGAAAGATTATCTGTGCCTGACAGATACAGAGTCCTTGCACTATTCCACTCTTCCCCATTATGCACCATTCTTCACAAGGAGGCAGAGGCTATAAAAGCCACTGTCAGTCGGCCCCCCACCTCCTGCTGTTGGTGGTCGATATGCTGCCTTACCATTGTGCTAAATCATTCAGTTCCTCTCCCAGCAACACCTCTCATTGATTACTCCAGAGGGGCTGCCACTGAAAATGTTGATTCAACTCGGTGGGGAAGATGGGCTGGTGCAGACGGAGTGGGGAGGACTGGCAGAGACTCTTAAAAATAACGTACCTCCTAGTTTTCATTGGCAGGAAAAGCAAGCACATTGGCTCCTCCACCCTCACCCCTGCACCTTTTAAGCAAACTTCTGCCAGCCTGGTGAGTGATTTCAACTTGAAGTAAAGAAGGGCAAGTAGAAAATCCATCACATAGCATCGCACGAAACACCCGTTTATTTCTGCCCTTGCTCTATGTGCATACTCCCAGAGAATCTGAAACCCAGTGGCTTTCAGAGTTCTCCTGCTCTGTCTGGATTCTAAACCTGGAGAACTGAGATTAATGAAAAGTACTTTTGCCACTAAAAATACCTTTCCCAAAGCAGTCATTTCCTAACCCACAACTGTTTAGAATAGCATCATTTAACAATGTTTGTAAGTCATAAAACATGCATTGAGTTGATGTATGAGTTTGTATCTTTGGAGGAACTAGAATTGCAAACAAACAAAAAAAACATGCAGGGAGAGAGAAAAGAAAAACGTTCTAACAGATGTGTTCACTACTAAATAGAACACACAACATGTGCTGAAAAATAAAAGAAGCATTTGGCAACATAAAATATCTTGGCATCTGTGTTAGATTTGTAACCACAGTAAAATATTGATATGGATCATAAAATTCAAGTTCTCTATTCCTGGGCTTCTGGGTGACTGCTTTGAAAGACTTTTTCTACTGTGGAATTGTTCTTGTTCATCAGAGACATTTTATGACAACCCTGCTTTATGACATTACATGATTGGCTCATTTTCAGAAAGTTGATGCAAAAAATAGGAACAGCCATTAATCCCAAAGCAAGGCATAAATTTGACATCTTAAATGAGCAGAGAAGAAACAATACAGCTTGAACCTAAGGGAGGAGACCACCCCTCATATTTTCTTATGCCCAATTTCTGCCTCCAAAGAAAGAAGAAGTAAAAACTAAAAGGCAGAAATGAAATCCACAAGCAGACAGCCCGGCACCACACCCTGGGCCTGGTAGTTAAAGATCGACCCCTGATATCACCACCGATCCCACAGAAATAAAAACTACCATCAGAGAATACTACAAACACCTCTACGCAAATAAACTAGAAAATCTAGAAGAAATGGATAAATTCCTCGACACATACACTCTCCCAAGACTAAACCAGGAAGAAGTTGAATCTCTGAATAGACCAATAACAGGAGCTGAAATTGTGGCAATAATCAATAGCTTACCAACCAAAAAGAGTCCAGGACCAGATGGATTCACAGCCGAATTCTACCAGAGGTATAAGGAGGAGCTGGTACCATTCCTTCTGAAACTATTCCAATCAATAGAAAAAGAGGGAATCCTCCCTAACTCATTTTATGAGGCCAGCATCATTCTGACACCAAAGCCAGGCAGAGACACAACCAAAAAAGAGAATTTTAGACCAATATCCTTGATGAACATTGATGCAAAAATCCTCAATAAAATACTGGCAAAACGAATCTAGCAGCACATCAAAAAGCTTATCCACCATGATCAAGTGGGCTTCATCCCTGGGACGCAAGGCTGGTTCAATACACGCAAATCAATAAATGTAATCCAGCATATAAACAGAGCCAAAGACAAAAACCACATGATTATCTCAATAGATGCAGAAAAAGCCTTTGACAAAATTCAACAACCCTTCATGCTAAAAACTCTCAATAAATTAGGCATTGATGGGACGTATTTCAAAATAATAAGAGCTATCTATGACAAACCCACAGCCAATATCATACTGAATGGGCAAAAACTGGAAGCATTCCCTTTGAAAACTGGCACAAGACAGGGATGCCCTCTCTCACCACTCCTATTCAACATAGTGTTGGAAGTTCTGGCCAGGGCAATTAGGCAGGAGAAGGAAATAAAGGGTATTCAATTAGGAAAAGAGGAAGTCAAATTGTCCCTGTTTGCAGACGACATGATTGTATATCTAGAAAACCCCATTGTCTCAGCCCAAAATCTCCTTAAGCTGATAAGCAACTTCAGCAAAGTCTCAGGATACAAAATCAATGTACAAAAATCACAAGCATTCTTATACACCAACAACAGACAAACAGAGAGCCAAATCATGAGTGAAATCCCATTCACAATTGCTTCAAAGAGAATAAAATACTTAGGAATCCAACTTACAAGGGATGTGAAGGACCTCTTCAAGGAGAACTACAAACCACTGCTCAAGGAAATAAAAGAGGATACAAACAAATGGAAGAACATTCCATGCTCATGGGTAGGAAGAATCGATATCGTGAAAATGGCCATACTGCCCAAGGTAATTTACAGATTCAATGCCATCCCCATCAAGCTACCAATGACTTTCTTCACAGAATTGGAAAAAACTACTTTAAAGTTCATATGGAACCAAAAAAGAGCCTGCATCGCCAAGTCAATCCTAAGCCAAAAGAACAAAGCTGGAGGCATCATGCTACCTGACTTCAAACTATACTACAAGGCTACAGTAACCAAAACAGCATGGTACTGGTACCAAAACAGAGATATAGATCAATGGAACAGAACAGAGCCCTCAGAAATAACGCCGCATATCTACAACTATCTGATCTTTGACAAACCTGAGAAAAACAAGCAATGGGGAAAGGATTCCCTATTTAATAAATGGTGCTGGGAAAACTGGCTAGCCATATGTAGAAAGCTGAAACTGGATCCCTTCCTTACACCTTATACAAAAATCAATTCAAGATGGATTAAAGACTTAAACCTTAGACCTAAAACCATAAAAACCCTAGAAGAAAACCTAGGCATTACCATTCAGGACATAGGCATGGGCAAGGACTTCATGTCTAAAACACCAAAAGCAATGGCAACAAAAGCCAAAATTGACAAATGGGATCTAATTAAACTAAAGAGCTTCTGCACAGCAAAAGAAACTACCATCAGAGTGAACAGGCAACCTACAAAATGGGAGAAAAGTTTCGCAACCTACTCATCTGACAAAGGGCTAATATCCAGAATCTACAATGAACTCAAACAAATTTACAAGAAAAAAACAAACAACCCCATCAAAAAGTGGGTGAAGGACATGAACAGACACTTCTCAAAAGAAGACATTTAGGCAGCCAAAAAACACATGAAAAAATGCTCATCATCACTGGTCATCAGAGAAATGCAAATCAAAACCACAATGAGATACCATCTCACACCAGTTAGAATGGCAATCATTAAAAAGTCAGGAAACAACAGGTGCTGGAGAGGATGTGGAGAAATAGGAACACTTTAACACTGTTGGTGGGACTGTGAACTAGTTTAACCATTGTGGAAGTCAGTGTGGCAATTCCTCAGAGATCTAGAACTAGAAATACCATTTGACCCAGCCATCCCATTACTGGGTATATACCCAAAGGACTATAAATCATGCTGCTATAAAGACACATGCACACATATGTTTATTATGGCATTATTCACAATAGCAAAGACTTGGAACCAACCCAAATGTCCAACAATGATAGACTGGATTAAGAAAATGTGGCACATATACACCATGGAATACTATGCAGCCATAAAAAATGATGAGATCATGTCCTTTGTAGGGACATGGATGAAATTGGAAATCATCATTCTCAGTAAACTATTGCAAGAACAAAAAACCAAACACCGTATATTCTCACTCATAGGTAGGAATTGAACAATGAGATCACATGGACACAGGAAGGGGAATATCACACTCTGGGGACTGTTGTGGGGTGGGGGGAGGGGGGAGGGATAGCATTGTGAGATATACCTAATGCTAGATGATGAGTTAGTGGGTGCAGCGCTCCAGCATGGCACATGTATACATATGTAACTAACCTGCACAATATGCACATGTACCCTAAAACTTAAAGTATAATAAAGAAAATAAATAAATAAATAAATAAATCCAAAAAAAAAAAAAGATCGACCCCTGACCTAATTAATCAGTTATGTTATCTATAGATTACAGACATTGTATGGAAAAGCACTGTGAAAATCCCTGTCCTGTTTTGCTCCGTTCTAATTACTGGTACATGCAGCCCCCAGTCATGTACCCCCTGCTTGCTTAGTCGATCACGACCCTCTCACATGGACCCCCTTAGAGTTATGAGCCTTTAAAAGGGACAGGAATTTTTCATTCGGTGAGCTTGGTTGTTGGAGACGTGAGTCTTGCCAAAGCTCCCTGCCAAATAAAGCCCTTCCTTCTTTAACTCGGTGTCTGAGGGGTTTTGTCTGCAGCTTGTCCTGCTACAAACCCATTGATAGGAAAGTGTATTTAAGAAAATTAGGTCTACATAAAGGTCATTGAATACTAAAGATAAGTTTTAACATTAAACTTATATTTTGAAAATATATCATGAAATTGGCTATTTTCAGAATGGATCTGATAAAAAGGTACTATCTATAAAGATCTAGAATATACTATATAATATTTTATAAATTAATTATATAAATGCATAATTATCTAAGTTATACTATATATTTTAATAAAATATAATTAATTATAATTTATATCCACACTTTTTAACAATGTATATAATTGTGTGATAACAAATGTATCTTTGATCTCTGTGTCTGATTTCTGGCACGTGGTTCCTAAAATCCTTGTGATCTCTGGGTGAAGAGTATCTTTTTTTTTTTTGAGATGGAGTCTCGCTCTGCAGCCCAGGCTGGAGTGCAGTGGCACGATCTTGGCTCACTGCAAGCTCCACCTCCTGGGTTCACACCATTCTCCTGTCTCAGCCTCCTGAGTAGCTGGGATTACAGGCGCCCACCACCACCACGCCTGGTTAATTTTTTTGTATTTTTAGTAGAGATGGAGTTTCACCGTGTTAGCCAGGATGGTCTCGATCTCCTGACCTCGTGATCCACCCGCCTCAGCCTCCCAAAGTGCTGGGATTACAGACGTGAGCCACTGCACCCGGGAAGAGTATCTTGTATATGTTAATAAAATGACTGGTGGCTGTGGGTCCCTGGGCAGCTTCAGAATGGGGGTTGGTCATCAGAAAGATGAAGGGATGATTAGAGAAAGAGCTGGGACTTTTAGTCCCAACTGTTCAATCTCTAGAGAGAAGAAAGATGTTGAAATTTGAGTTGATCTTCAAAGCCCAATGATTTAATTGATTGTGCTAATGTAATGAAGCCTCCATGAAAAACTAAAGAACAGAATTTGGAAAGCTTCCAAATTGTTGAATATGCAGAGGTACCTGGAGGGCAGTGCTCCCTGAGAGGGCATGGAAGCTCCCAGCTCCCTCTCCCATACCTTGCCCTGTACATCTCCTCCATCTGGCTGTTTATCTATATTTTTTGAAATACTCTTTATAATAAATGGATAAATGTAAATAAGTGTTCCTCTGAGTTCAGTCAGCCATCCTAGCAAATTAATTGAACACAAGGAGGAGGTCATGGGAATCCTGATACGTAGCTGGTTGGTCACAGGTTACAACCCCCGGCTTACGATTGACAGCTGAAGTGGGGGACTGTCTTTTGGGACTGAGCCCTCAACCTGTGGGATCTCACACTATCCCCAAGTAGATAGCTCCAGACAGAATTGAGTTAAATTGGACGACACTCAGCTGCTGTTTACTGGAAGATTGCTTGGTGTTTGACAAAAACCTGGTGTCAGGGTGTTGTATTGAGTGGCATGTGAGAATAGAGAGTAGAAGAAAAAAATGGTTTGCTTTTCCTTTGTAGGGCAGGAGGAACCTGCTAAAATAAACTGGCATTAGACCATTAGGTGAACAGGAGAAAAGGCATAAACATTTATCAAGGTGCACATGTGCATGGGAACCACAGAAAATAATGAAACTAAGAAGGCCCAGATGACTAAAGTTTTTATGTTGTACAGAAAGGGAAGGAGCTTGGAGATCCTGGGAGAAGAAACACACTGCAAACAAAAGTTGTTGTCTTATTATGCAGATAAAGTCTCCCTGGTCCAGAAGAACAGATGATAGCCTTTGGTAAAAGTGTCTTTGTCAGACCTTAAAATGTGTTAGACTCTTAATTTCCTTTTCCTGTGAGTTAATCATTCCTAGATCCACATAAGGCAGAGGAGGGGCTTTAAGAGAAAGACAGCATCCACTCTTTGCTTCACTAATGTAGATTTTCTTTCTAGAAGTAGTTTTCTTTTACAAAAGGACAGTTTTTTAAAGCTAAGCCTGTTTCCCTGAATAGCCATCTGGAAATATGCCAAAGAAGTATATTCTGGGTGGCATATCTTAACGTCTCACATCTTCGATGATTATTACAATATAAAATATAATATATATTTAAAAGTAACATAAAAACCATAGTTCATAAAGATGAAATAGTATACAAATATCAATAGGTTTTTAGAAAATGCCTCCATTCCTCTCATGAATACAACCACTACTTTAAATTCCTTTAACTTTTTCTTCTGATAGCTGTCTGTATTTTAAAAGTGTATTTATGGTGCTATTTCAAGGCTTATCAATTTTAGACACTGTCAAGTTCCCAATATGAATGATGAACATTTAGTGGTTTTACATGTATCTCTCAATATATTTATATCACAATTATGAGTTAAATAATAAGCAGTTAAAGTTGCTTTTTATTGAGCAATATTTATACAGTAGTAGTGAAATAATCATGGTATACTGGTTTGCTCAAAATGAGACAGAGTAGGAACCCCTCATACGGGCCGGCATAGAAAAAGAAAGGAAAATCTTCAGTTCCGTAAAGGAAATTCTAGGTACCTAAGCTAGCCCTGAGAAGTAAATAGGCAACTCAACAAGCGAGAAGGTAATAGCAGCTTAAAACAATAGCCAAGGAAGTTAAAATTGCAGGATGTTTGGTTCCCTACAGAAACTAAAGATAACAGCTTAACATATGTCCATGAGTTTTTCAGAAATCTGGACCTCCTCCAAACAGATCTGCTGTCACATAGACCTCAGAGAAGGAGAAACTGAGGACTAAATTTTGACTGCAGGTCTTTGCTCTAAATGTCTTCCTGAAAAGCCTGGAGAAAATCATATCCATGAGCCAGAGCTAACCTTTTCCCTTAACCCCATATTTTAAACAAAGCTTCTCTTCCTACCAATTACAAATAAGGAAACCTTTGCATCTATCTATAACCTGTAAGCCCCCAAATAAAAATATCCTGCCCTACCTGTAATCCCAGCACTTTGGGAGGCCGAGGCAGGCAGATCACAAGGTCTGGAGATCGAGACCATCCTGGCTAACACGGTGAAACCCCGTCTATACTAAAAATACAAAAAAAATTAACTGGGTGTGGTGGCGGACACCTATAGTCCCAGCTACTCAGGAGGCTGAGGCAGGAGAATGGCATGAACCCAGGAGGTGGAGCTTGCAGTGAGCAGAGATTGTGCCACTGAACTCCAGCCTGGGCGACAGAGTGAGCCTCCATCTCAAAAAAAAAAAAAAATCCTGCCCTTTTAGGCCAAATCAATGTATCACCTTAATGTATTGATTTAGGATTTTGTCTGTAACTTCTGCTTTCCTAAAATTTACCCCTTCCTTTAAAGACCCTTACTTGAAAGCTATCAGAAAGGAAAAAGGTAAGGCCTTTTTTTTTTTTTTTTACTTTGAGACAGTCTCACTCTGTGGCCCAAGATGGAATACAGTGGCTTGATCTTGGTTCATTGCAACCTCAGCCTCCCAGGTTCAGGCGATTCTTGTGCCTCAGCCTCCCAAGTAGCTGGGATTACAGGCATGCGCCACCACGCCCGGCTAATTTTTATATTTTTCGTAGAGACAGGGTTTCGTCATGTTGGCCAGGCTGGTCTCAAACTCCTGGCCTCAAGCAATCTACCCACCTCGGCCTCCCAAAATGCTGGGACTACAGGCATGAGCCACCTCGCCTGGGCTGAAAGGTCAGGTCTTAAGTATGAGCTGCTGGATTCTTCTTGTTTGGCACTCTCCAAATAAACACCCTCCTTTCTCCTGCTCCAAACCTCAGGGTGGATGTTTGGCATTACCGCACCAGGTCAATGAATTCCAGTTCAGTCCAATAACAAGAATGAACAGATAGTCACCTCTTGCTAAAGTTTGTGATTTGATTTGCACCTATTAGTAGTTTATCACAAACTCTAGCAGATACATAAATGTATGCAGAAAAATTTATCAGGTAATTTACCAAATGCTTATCCCTGCATTCTTATCTGTCCCCCAACTCTGACATATCCTTCTTAAAGCCTTCTGTCCATCTCTGCCTGCACTGTAAGCCTTCTTTCTTGGCCTCTTTACAACTGTCATCCTGGAATTTGCCTTCTCTGCTTCTTGATGACTTGCTTCATTTCTCTCGTGCACTGCAGCCTTTATTCCTGAATTCTTTGTAATCTTGCTTGTTGGATTACTTCCTCATTTTTTGGAACACATTTTCTAGTATCTTCCTGAGAAATGGTGTAAGAGATGGCAATTTCATTTTGAGATCTTGCATGTCTAAAAGTGCCCCCATTTCTCCCTTCCACCAGATTAACAGTTTAACTAAGCATTGAAACTGAGTTTCAAAATAAATATTCCCACATTCAGCATTTAGAAACATTTCTCAATGGCCATCTAGCTTTCTGTTTTTCTCAGAAATATCAAATGTCCTCATGAGTCACAGTACTTTCTGAGTTTTTGAAGATCTTCTCTATCTCAGGTGTTTAAAATTTTATGACAGTAAGTCTTCTTGCAGGACTATTTTATCATTCATTGTGCTGGTCCATGGTGAGTCCTTTTAAAAAGGAAAAATGTGTCCTAACTTTGGGTACATTTTACTGCATTCAGTTCTTTTACAGGAATTCTAGAATAATAAAAGAGATAAAGTGGACCTTGGATTTTATCTATTGGATGTTAAACCTCCTAAACTGGTTCTCATTTGCTCATTATTTTCTCTTTAATTTTCTATCTCTCTAGTATTTTACTTCCTGGGATACTACCTCAATTCTATCTTCCATCATTCCTTCTTTTCCTTTTTCTTTTTGAGACGGGGTCTCGCTCTGTTGCCCAGGCTGAAGTGCAGTGGTGCAACCTCGGCTCACCGCAACCTCCACCTCTTGGGTTCAAGTGATTCTCCTGCCTCAGCCTCCTGAGTTGCTGGGATTACAGGCTCATGGCGCCATGCCTGGCTAATTTTTGTATTTTCAGTAGGGACAGGGTTTCGCCATGTTGGTCAGGCTGGTCTTGAACTCCTGACCTCAAGTGATCCGTCCGCCTCGGCCTCCCAAAGTGTTGGGATTACAGGCGTGAGTCACCGTGCCTGGCCATCTGTTTTTTTCTTAATATTTCTGACATCTCATTTTTACTTTCCAAGAGTTCTTTTTGTAACTGTTTTTTAGTCTCCTTTTTAGAGAGAATTTTCTATTTAAGTTGTGTTTGTAATGACTTATCTTTCTGAAGATATTAATTGTTAGATTTTCCTTCTGTTCCCTTTATTATCTCTGTTCCCTCTGAATCCCTTTTTGTTATTATTTATTTGACTTCTATTTTTCACCTAAAGAATTTATTTATACATGTGGTGGTCAGAGGCTATCTGTTCACTTTTAAAAGTGAGACTCTTGGGACTTAGGCAGAGTTTGTACACTGAAGGGCTTAACTACCAGGAAGGAAAGAAATTATTTTGTTCTCCCATAGGGATTTATTTTCTGTACGCATTTTTATTAGAAAAGTTATATTTAATCAAAATAATATTAGCTTGTTTTTCTCTTAGCTGTAAGAAAACAGAAGTTTAAATTCAAAAGAAGATTACATTTAGACAGTACAAAAATCAATAATATAAAAAAATTGTAAATCTTTTATTCCATAGGGAGAATTGGAATAAAACTTTTATAATTTATTCTCAGATCAGTTTGTCATATCTCCTTTAAATTTCCTCTAAAATTACCAAGGGTCTTTAAGAATGATAATGCAAAAGAAAACAAATGATTACATTATGCTAAATATAACAGGAATCAGTAAGTTTCCTCTAAATATAGCAAGTGCATAAACATGCATAGACCACATTGCCAAAGATAGATCACTGTCAACAATTATATAAATTAAAGGAAGGAATTGTTTCTGAGAACTGAATAAGCAAAATGTACACACAATGGATGAGATAAGCCATTAGTAGGAATAAACCTTCAGTCTTCCTATAAAGATATGGCTGAGTAGTTTTAAAATATCCATGGTTCCACTCAAGGTGACCTATGTGTAATCTCAGGGAGACAGAACTAAAATATAATGTAACTTAGAAAGGACATGTCTAAACAATTGAATCAAACACTGTTTAGAAAAAGACAATGTGAACAAAAGAGGAAGTTTTTTTTTTTTAACAGAATCTCGCACTGTCGCCCAGGCTGGAGTGCAGTGGCGCAATCTTGGCTCACGGCAACTTCTGCCTCCCAGGTTCAAGCGATTCTCCTGCCTCAACCTCCCTAGTAGCTGGGACGACAGGCGCCCACCACCACGCCCAGATAATTTTTTGTATTTTTAGTAGAGACAGGGTTTCACCGTGTTAGCCAGGATGGTCTTGATCTCCTGACCTTGTGATCCACCTGCCTCGGCCTCCCAAAGTGCTGGGATTACAGGCATGAGCCGTCACGCCCGGCCAGAGGAAGTTCTCTTGATGAAACACAAACAGGAAAATCCAGGGAGCAGTATGTTGGCAAAAGTCATCTGCTCCAAACTAACAAAGTGGTAAATAGATAAAATAGATTTAACAGGGTATTACAGGAAATTTGCCATCAAGCTTAAGAAGACCATGTACAGGCCTTAAAATTTTGCCATATTATACCAGAAAAATAATTCCCAGAAATTCACCTTGCATTTGGAGATGTCTCTGTAATTATTCTGCCATGACTGTAATGGCCCCAGTGAGATGGTGCCATATTTGATCATCTGTCCAGATGTAGCCAGCAGCCTATTCCTTGATTTTCTATTGCACAGCTGATAACAAGACAGAATATTAAATAAGACCTTACTAAATAGTCTAATAAATGAAAAAAGAATCTTAGTAGAATAAGCAAAAAAATATTCAACTGCAGTTTTCTACTTATGAAGTTCAGTGGACATAGGTTTTGCTTGGTGCACCCTATAGTATTATTTATGCCTCTATTGCCACAAAGCAAAGCCAAGTTTCAAGAGTCAAATAAGAAATAACAAGTCCAGGCTGGGCACGGTGGCTCATGCTTGTAATCCCAGCACTTTGGGAGGCCGAAGAGGGTGGACCGCTGGAGCTCAGGAGTTCTAGACCAGCCTGGCCAACATGGTGAAACCCTGTCCCTACTAAAAATACAAAAATTAACCTGGTGTGGTTGCATGCTTGTAATCCTAGCTACTGGGGAGGCTGAGGACGGAGAATTGCTTGAACCCTGGAGATGGAGGTTGCAGTGAGCCGAGATCATGCCACTGCACTCCAGCCTGAGCAACAGAGTGAGATTCCTTCTTAAATAAATAAATACATACATACATACATACATGCATACATACATAACAAGTGCAACCATGTCCAGGCTTAGCAAGGAGCTTCTCTCAACTGCCCAGGTTTCTCCTTTGTGTCTGAATACTTCCCTTCCCCTGGGTGACTGACAGTGGGAATATGTATCCTCTTCAAAAGATTGCTCTTACGTTTATCACAAGGGATTGCTTTTCTTCCGTGGTATCAAAAGAGAGACATTAGAAGATCAGTCTACTTATTACCACTGTGTAGTAATCCAAACTAAAAAAGGTACATACACTGTAGCATAGAACTGTCTTATTTTTAGGAAATAGGCAACACAATTCATATATTTAAAGATATCTGTACTACCTCTCATGTTCTCACTGAGTGATCATACTAAGTAGACTTTATATGGGAGACATGTATATTACATGTTCCCTGCAGAAGACAGTTGGCTTTTCCGTATACATGTTTCCACAGAGAGGGGCAACACTGAAGATGCCATGGAAAGCAGAAAACCAACAAGATAACTTAATTTTAATTTAATATTTACAAGCTATTCTTATTTTTTTTGGATTGTTCTGCAATCTTTTACTAAGGTGTTTAGTTAAAGCTAGCCTCCTGAATCTTACCAATCTGAGGACACTGACTAATTTGGGTTTCTTATCTCGCAAAACTGATGACAAAATCTTGGATCATAATGACTGAAATAAGATACTGTCTAACCAGAAATCTTGAAATACAGTCTGCCTATCTTAGTGATAGTGGTAAGCAGTTAATTGCAGCCATCACACTCTATTGAAAGGAGAGGTTATAGAGAAGGACTGAGGCAGGACAAGCAAGCCTCCAAATTGAGGCTTAGCCCAGGAGGGTCCTTGCTTTGCCAAGGAAAGAATTCAAGGGCAAGCTAGTGGTATTAATCTGTAACTTGTATTGAAGCAGCAGAGTGTACAGCAGCGCAGGGATACTTACTGCTCCTTGTGAAGCAGGACTACCCCATAGGCAGTGTGCCCACAGCAGCAACTCAGAGGGAGTTCTGAACTCCTATTTATACCCACGTTTAATTATACTCAAATTAAGGGGTGGTTGATGCAGAAATTTCCAGGATGAGGATGGTAACTTCCAGGTTGTCAGGTCATTGCCATGAAAAGGGGTGGTAACTTCAGGTGTTGCCATGGCAATGGTAAACTGATATAAGGCATACTGGTGGGCATATCTTGTGGGGCAGTGCTTCCACCCCTGACCTGTTTTAGCTAGTCTTCAGTTTGATCCAGTGTCTAAGCCCCACCTCTGGAGTCAAGTCCTGCCTCCTACCTCAAGATCATCACTGGACAATGAGTAAGAAAATACCAATGATGCTTTAGGATGAGAGGGGCTACGTTAGCATCAGGTTATTAAAGAAAAAAATATACAGTATCAGGGGATCAAACAGGGAAATTGAGACCAGAAAACTGTACTTATTACGGACACTAAAGAAGGAAAATTGTTCCAAAGTCACGATCTCTGTGTTTGCTGTATGACAGGTGTTGGTTCAATGGTCCTGAAGTCCGTTTACTGGCAGAACAGCAGGCATGCTGGAAAATGCAGTAATGTCTCCACCCCTCCACAAACCATGGCAAAGCTACTCACTAGTGACTCAAGGCCTATGAACACCCAGTGAGACTGGCAGAATCATGTATTGTAAATTGTTAAATTCAAGACTGTCCTATAGGGTGTTTCAGCCTCTGAGGCTCATTCTCTGAGGGATCCACTAAATCTAACAGCAGGGTGACAATTAGCACAATCTGTCATATGGAGGCACCTGTTTATTAGGAATTAAACTAGAACTATCCATTCATTTTACCTAGGCTACAGAATGGGAAGTAACTATTACAAAGTAATGGCTTCCAGCCGCTATTGCTCAGAGCCAGTTTTGGATTAGTGGTGAGGAACTAAAAAGGCGTTAAGTACTTTTACAAATCCTGCAAAATGTTCTCCTTAGTTAAGTATATAATGACGCATGAGGGCAGAGACCATTTGCCTACACCAGGCTTTCATCTTAGATGTGCATAGTTCTCGATGCCCTTAAAACTTGTAGACACTCATGTAAGAAAGATTTGAAGTTATTTTCTCATGAAGTATAGCCACTTCATGTTACACATAGTTTCTTTTCGCTTTAAAAAATTTATTTGATCTATACATTTAATTTGGTTCTCTTCCTTATTATTGCCCCTCCATTTTATTCATTTATTTATTTGTTTCATTTTTTTTTAGAGATGAGGTCGCACTCTGTTACCCAGGCTGGAGTGCAGTGACACAAACGTGACTCACTGTAGCCTGAGCTACAGTGGGCTCAGGTGATCCTCACACCTTAGCTTCCTAAGGTAGCTTCCTAAGTAGCTGGAACTACAGGTTTATGGCACAGCACCAAGTTTTTGTTTTCTTTTGTTTTGTTTGTTACTTTTTTCTGTAGAGACAAGCTGTGCTGCCTAGGCTGGTCTTGAACTCCTGGCTTCAAGTGCTTGTCTTACATTGGCCTCCCTAAGCACTGGGATTACAAGCATGAGATGCTGGGCTCAGCCCATTTTTTTAACTTTTAAATTTATTTGAGTATCTATGGGTTTGAACACCTGCATACCTTCACATAACCACCATCACAATCAGGTTACAGAACAACTGCAACTTTCAAATAATTCCATCGTGCCGAACCTTCGTATTCAAATGTTCTCCTCACTTCAAACTGTGACAATACTTAACTGTTCTTTGTCCCTATAGCTTTGCCTTTTTCTGGAATGCCATAAATGAATTCATGCAGTTTGTAATCTTTTAAGTCTGACTTTCCTCATTTAGCATAATGCATTTGAAATCTATCAGCATTGTGTATCAATAGTTCATTCCTCTTGATTACTGAGTAGTACTTCATTGCATGGAGGAATGACAGTTTGTCATTAAAAGACATTTTGGTGGATTTCAGTTTGGGCTATAATGAATAATACCATTATAAACATTTCTATATATAAATTCACATTTTTTCTTGGATAAAGACCTAGGAGTAAGATTTTTGGTGTCATGTAACTTTTTGATGTTTACTACTTGCTTTTATTTAGAGTTGAGCATATGGTTAGATTCTGACTGTGTCTATACATAATCAATATACCAGTATTTTGTTATTAAGTACATATTACGTTCCAATAGTGCTAGGTACTGAGGACTTAGAGATGAATAATGCATAGCATATTAAAAGAATGCACTTAGGTATAAACAGTGTATTCATTTTATAGGGCTGCTGTAACAAAGTACCACAAACTGAATGGCTTATTGTATCACATTTCTGCAAGATGAAAAATCCAAAATCAAGGTGTCAGCAGAACCATGCTCCCTCTAAGACTCCAGGTAGAATTCTTCCTTGTCTCTTCATAGCTTTGGGGGGTAGCCATGAATCCTTGGTTCTCCATGGCTTTCAGCCATAGCATGTCAATCTCTGCTTCCATCTTCATATGACATTCTTCCCTTGTAGCTTCCATTGACTTCTTTTATGGTCAATGATCATATTGGATTAAGGGCCCACCCTTATTAAGTATGACCACATTTTAACTAATTACATCTGCAACAACATTATTTCCAACAAAGCTCACCTTCCAACATTGTGGAAGTTAGGATCTCAATATATCTTTTCGGCAGACACAATTCATCCCATAAAAAATAGTGACAAAAATGTATTATGTGCTGACAGTTGGTCTGGCATTGCCCTAGGTATGGAGGATAAAATGGTCAGCAGATTAGGAAAAGCTCTGAGTTTTGTAGACTTTAGAACCTATTGGGCAAGGCTGACTTTGAAACAATTATTATAAAGAATCTATAAAAGTATAGCAATTTTTTTTGAGATGGAGTTTTGCTCTGTCTCTCAGGCTGGAGTGCAGCGGTGCAATCCTGGCTCACTGCAACCTCCACCCTCTGGGTTCAAGTGATTCTTTTGCCTTGGCCTCCTAAGTAGCTGGGATTACAGGTGCACGCCATCACACCCTGATAATTTTTGTATTTTTAGTAGAGATGGGGTTTCACCATATTGGCCAGGCTGGTCTCCAACTCCTGACCTCAGGTGACGCGCCCGCTTTAGCCTCCCAAAATGCCAGGATTACAGGTGTGAGACACCACACCCGGCCTTAAAAGTATAGCCTTCTTAAAAGAAGCACAAGATCCTCTGAGAATGTAAATAAGGGGCCCCAATTTGGTTCAGGGTTTAGAGAATTTTTTTTGAAGAAGTAACATGCAAGACAAACCAGAGGACTAAACAACTTTAGACAAAAAAACGGGGGAAAGAGTATTCCGCACAGAGAGAAAAGCAAATAGAAAGGATTGCAAGTTGGAGATAATATCATGTTCCAGGAATTCAGCATAAAAGTATGAAGGAAAAGTGTCAGATGTGGCCAGAGAAGCTGGCAGGTGTTTGACTACATACAGCTTTGTAGACCTGCCTTGGATTTTAGACCATACTTTAAGGGCAATGTGAAGTCATTAAATGGTTTTATTTCAGAGGTTGGTATGATCATAAATGCATTTATAAATGCATTCCTCATTCTGTTGAGAATAAACTGAAAAGAGAAAAAATAAATTGAAATGGAGAAAATTAGAATATTTAAATGTTTAAAACAAGATACAGTTGTCAATTTGACTAAAGTGGTGTCAATGGAAGTAAAGAGATGAGGCGAAGATTGAGAAGTGTGTGGGATGTTGCATCGATAAAAATTAGATCCAGGCTGGGCGCAGTGGCTCATGCCTGTAATCCCAATACTTTGGGAGGCCAAGGCAGGCGGATCACGAGGTCAGGCATTCGAAACCAGCCTGACCAACATGGTGAAACCCCGTCTCTACTAAAAATAGAAAAATTAGTTGGGCGTGGTGGCATGCGCCTATACTCCCAGCTACTCAGTAGGCTGAGGCAGGATAATTGGTTGAACCTGGGAAGCGGAGGCTGCAGTAGTGAGCTGAGATTGTGCTATTGCACTCCAGCCTGGGTGACAGAGTGAGACTCCATCTCAAAAAAAAAAAAGAAAAAAAATAGATCCAATATAAAGGTGAGGGGAAAAGAGATGTCAAAGAAAGCCTTCAAATTTCCAGGGTGAGACCTTAGGTGAGCGAAAGTGCCTTTTACTGACTGAAGAACCACTTGCAGACATTCCATTTGGAGTGTGGGATGCACCAGGAGTTCCATTTGTGACACACTGAGTTTTAAATATCTGGAAAATACTCAGATGCTCATGTCAAGCTAGGAGTTGGATATAAGACTCTATAGCTGGAAGAGGCGTCTGGGCTAGAGACGTACATTTTTGAGTCATCAGCATATAGACAGTAATTTAACTTAAAGAATGGATGAAATTATCTAGTCAAGGAGGACAGAATTAGAAGAGCTAAAATTGAGCCCTGAGGAGTTCCATCATTAAAAGGTCAGGCAAAGAGGAAGTGCTGGGGAAGGAAACTGAAGGAAGCTGACACATTTGCGAATAGATACAACCCTAGCACAAGGGCTGGGGGTGGGAGCAGATGGCAGACCCTGGATGCAGGGGTAACAATGAAGAAAAAAGACAAAGCTGCTAGAAAGTTAAATTCAAAACATTTTGGCACGTTGGTTAGTTGGGTGAAAAACAGAATGTAGGAATTGACTCAGTAACAGGGAAGCCTTTAACATTAGCTATGATTCAGATCAAGGAAAGCTTTGGCTCAAACATCTGACTTTTTATCTGATCAGTATCATTTAAAGAAAATCACTTTAGAACAGTGTTAAATGAACTGCCCTGCAATCAATCCCAGAGATGGGGGAGTTAATTCAGACTTTATTTTAATAGGGTACTTTATTTTAATAGTGTAAAACTACTTCCTAGTGTAGACACTCTTTTTAAGAACCAGTATCTTATGCTTTCTTCCTATGCAAGTGGATAGTTTCTATTTATTCCCAATTAAGCTGACTGATACATGACAGTGTAAAAATGGCCTTCCTTCTTCTAACTGTAACAACAGTTTCTTGAAAGGCAGTCTTGGGGAAAAAAACCTGGTTAAAGAATCTTTTTAAAAAACAAATATTGCAATCAACTGGCGGTTTGATTTCTGGCAGTCACACACACTTTCTAAGTCCCTAAAGTGTGATTTTCCTATTCCACTGAGCCAGTGTAGGCCACGATGGAAATCAGTCAAGAGCTGGAAATGACTCAGTACCCAGCACAGTGACTGGAGACATTAGCTACAGTGTCAATCTAATTGTAATGTAATTCCAGTAATATATGCAGTTAGCACTGAGCACAATTTAGGGTTCCCTGCCTAGAGTTTCAGGAAAGCCATGCTGTTATTGTAATGAACCCACTGCTTTGCTGCTCCAGTTTTAGTCCTTAGTTTTATTACTCAAGAATAGTTCCCCAGTTATTTTAAAACTTCTCTAAAAGAAAGAAAGGTAATGATTCTGCATACCACTATTATATTACTTAGAAAAATGTTATAATGTTAGCTATTACAAGCTATTTCACATCTCAATACTGTACTTTTTGCACGGATTATATAATTTAATCTACCCAACAATCCTATGGGTAGGCACTATTGTTAACTCTGAAGTTTAGAGAACTTGATCAGAGTCACACAACTAGTGAGTGGAGGTGGCAGCATTCAGACTTCCCTGAGTCTGACCCCAGACTTTACACTATTGTTAATATCCTGCAGTCTTACATTCGCCTGTAGTTGCATGTTAATTTTCTTTCTCAATTGCAGCATCAGTTTCTTCAGGAGTTCTGCTTTTATCAGATACTTTGCAGACTCATCAAATACTCAATGTTCACATAGAGAAGGAAAAAAAATTAAGAAAAGAGAAAGAAAGAGAGAGAGAAAGAATGAGAGAGAGAGAGAGAAAGAAAGAGAAAGAAAGAAAGAAAGAAAGAAAGAAAGAAAGAAAGAAAGAAAGAAAGAAAAAAGAAAGAAAGACAGACAGACAGACAGACGGAAGGAAGGAAGGAAGGAAAGAAAGGGAGAGAGAGAGAAAGAAAGGAAGGAAGGAAGGAAGAAAGGAAGGGGAGAGGAGACGAAGGAAGGAAGGAAATTAAGAAAGAAAGAAAGAAAGAGAAAGAAGAAGAAAGAAAGAAAGAAGAAAGGAAGGAAGGGGAGAGAAGAGGAAGGAAGGAAGGAAATTAAGAAAGAAAGAGAGAGAAAGAAAGGAAGGAAGGAGAGACAAAGAAAGAAAGGAAGAAAGAAAGAAAGGAAAGAGAGAAAGAAAGGAAAGAAAGAAAGGAAGAAAGAAAGAAAAGAAAAGAAAAGAAAAGAAGGAAGGAAGGAAGGAAAGAGAGAGAGAGGGAGGGAGGAAAGGAAGGAAGGGTAATTACAACAGAATTGGGAATGGCTGAGCTAATGTTGAGAAATCTTTATCAAGTCTTTTATTTTTTATTTATTTTATTTATTTATTTATTTATTTTGGTAAACAGTAAAATAAATCAAAACAAAGAATTCCAGGGCAGGAGCATTTTCATTTATTTGATTATAGATTTGAATGTTTACTAGAAAAAATGATAGCAATATCTATTTTAAATGCCTGAGCTCTTAAAATACTGAGTTAAACTAATTCTGGGATATTCACCTGTGTGGGAAGTTTTGTGGTATGAAATACATAGCAAAGCTTTGAGTATTGGTTCCACTCTTCTTAGTGTGTAATCTTTCATAAACTGTTTAAACTGAACCTCAAATTCAACTTCTATAATATGCATATAATATCATGAATTTAATAAAGTTTATGTAGTTAGCACTGAGCACAATTTAGGGTTCCCTGCCTAGAGTTTTCTACTTTACACAGTTTTAGTGAGAGCTCTAACTTATAAAGTTTTGGTCAGGATTCCACCTTACAAAGTTTCGCTGAGGTTGCTTGCAAGAGTTAGATGATTTGGGATTTTTACCAGGGTGAGGATGATTTCATGCTAGGATATCCCCAAATCATTCCCTGTCTATCTTTGTTTATCTGGAAAATTCATGAAATTGCTGCATGAAATTCCCTGTTCACTTTTGTTCATCTATTCCACACACTGAGGAATAGCCTTGCTCAGCAAAGACTGGAGATGACCACTTCCTTACTACCACGGATTTGGAAATCTAACCCAATGGCAACTCAGAAAGGTAGGTATTATGGTTCCTATTTTATAGATGTAGACACTGAGATTCAGGTTCACACAGAAGACTCAGAATATAACAAAACCAAAAATAATGGTGAATATTTATTATGCACTTGTATTGTGCAAAGTTTGTTTTCTTTTTTCTCCATCACATAGAACCTAACTCCTGGGGGTTATTATGAGAATTTATTTTTCCCATTTTATAATAGTAAAGATTGAGTGTTTGAGAAGTTAATAAACTTCCTTAGAAGCAAAGCTGACAAGAGATAAAGCAGAGACTTAAATTTAAGCCCTTTTAACTCTACAGCCATACTCTTGTCCAGTATAGAATTTCCTTTCTGTGGACAGACTTGAGAAATTTGGTGACAAGGACACATTTGGAATATTTTATATTTTCCACTGATGTTTGTCTACTTCTCTGACATCCTTAAGTCCACAATTTTAGGGCACTGATTAGTAAGTACATTAGTTACCTATCGCTATGTAATAAATTACCCCAAAGCAAAAAGACTTGAAACAAAATAATCACTTATCACAGTTTCAATGGGTTGGGAGCTTAAAAGTGGCTCAGGGTCTCTCATGAGGTTGACCTCAGGATGTTGGCTGGAGCTTCAGTCTCCGAATGCTTGACTAGGATGGGAAGATCTGCTTCCAAGGTAGCTCACTCACATGGATGGCAATTTGGGGCTGTTTTTTAGCAAGTGAATTCAGTTTCTTCCCACATTGGACTTTCTATAGTCTGTTTGAGTGTTCTCGTGACCCTCAACTGTCTTTCCCCAGAGAAGGTAATCTTAGAGAGACAAAGGTTGAAACCACAATTACTATTTGGACCCAGCTTCAGAAATGATACTCATTACTTCTCTTGGCCATACAGGCCAGCCATATTTCCATGTGGGAGGAGACTGCACAAGGAGGTGAGGCTCATTGGTGTCCCTCTGGACTCTGGTGTAGGAGCCAAGGAAAAATTACCCCTTTGCCCTGTGAAGGTTCACTGAAAAGTCAACTCACAAAAGACAGTCTAATTGGAGAAAAGGGATACAAATTTATTTAGTGCACATGCATGAGAACCTTCAGAATGAAAACTCAAAGATACAGGGAAAATTGCCTGTTTTAATGCTTAGGTTCAATAAAGTATGGACAGCTGTGAAGAAATATAATTGGACAAAAGGGGTCTGATCTAATGTTAATAGACGGAGGTGGGAAACCCAGTGAGGCCTGCCCGTCTAGCCTCTTCTTGACCTCTCTGAGCATGGATTTCTTTCTTCTGGGTATGGGGCAGGACCCTCTCTTGAATGGAGGTTCTTATGACCTCAGTCAAACAAGGTATAGGTAAGATAATTTCTTTATGGCCAGTTTCTAAAGAGAAAGGTGGAGGAAAGTTAGCGTAATGTTTTTAGGCTTTTTGGCTGGCTTTGGGAGAAAGAGGTTCTGGTTTCTATGACCTACCTTGGGGAAGAATGATTCCAGGTTTTATGGGTAGCTTTGGGGGAAAATGGGACTGAGAGAGGAAAGGAGGAGGGCAGAAAAAAATTGTTGCTTCTGAGGCTGCTTCTGAGGCCTTCATTTTGGGGTGTGTTGTTTTCTGAGTCCCAACATTGGCTACCATAGTAAGGGTCAAACCAGTAAAAAAGAGGAGATTCAGTATAGACAATTTGTGTCATAGGTGGTGGAAGAGATAAGCCAACAAAGGAAAATGAGACAACCCAGATATCAGCAACAAGAAACCACTACCATCATTCCATAGGCTGGAGAAACAAAGGAAGGAGGAAGTGGAATTAGCAAAGCCCACGGCCTGGGTCCCATGATGCACACTGGAACCACAGCTCATTCTAGCAGGATCTGGAGATGCAGAGGAGGTACAGCTGCTGCTAGAGTTGTTTCCTGAAGCAGAAGACTAGGGAAAACTACTTATTTCTCCCTTCCTCTAGCCCTGCAGTCACCCTGTCTCTCTGGTTGAACCAACCAGAATCTATCTAATGCAGGATCCTTATAACATTCAAGGTTCAGCTCATCTGCTGTGCCCAGCAGAGCAGGGGAAAGTTGGGGAATGAAATGAAGGTAAAATAGGTTCAGGACTGGTGCTGGATAAAACTAAAGAATAAAACATAATATATCTATTTCCTTTTGAAAAGAAAATCAAAAGCAAACTCTTCTTACATCATTTTGTCTAATACAGCACTCGTTGCAAGAATCATTCTATAAGAACCCTAAAAGTGAGATTATTTGTTGAAAAAGATTGAGACTTCGACTCATCTTAATGGATGTGGAGGTGTGAATATCTGTCATAAGTCTAGACAGGAAGGGGGATAACTGATGTACCACAAATATCACCCTCTCCCTACCACTAGTATTTTTCTTTCCTCTTACCCTCTTTAAACTCATAAGCTCATATCACTTATTTCCTGAAAACAAATATGTATCTGTTTATTGGTTAATTATCTGTCCCATGAGGAAGCCTGTCATTTTCACCACTGTGAACAGATCTAGAACAGCATCTGCAACATAAACAATGTTCAATAAATATTTACTCATCCATTAAAAAATAATTGCCATCTCTGAAATGGAAATATATGGGCAGAAGGAGTAGGTACCTTTAACCAAAGACTGATGAAAATCAAAATATGAAAATATCAGCTTCCTCAGATAGGACAACTCTAAGGTCTAATTTATGTCTGTAGGATGAAGCTACACTTTTCAGGATTTTATCTGAAATCATTCCCCTGCTTAGCTCCCTTCCTTCCCTAGCCCGTTTCTTCTAGTTTCTTACTGATTTCCTTTGGGAACAATTCCTTTAATAAATTATTTGCACATAAATCCTTGTCTTTGACTTCTGCTATATATGTTGTGATGACTCACGATTAAGAAAATCAAGACAAGGCAGAGTAAACTGTCTTTACTAGTTTACTTATCTCATAGGATGGCTGGGTCAGTCAAGAGAGATCAAATATAATAAGCTTTGCATAGAAACTGTAGTATTTAGAAGTAGTAACTAGCTTTACTAACAGCTCCTCAGCAGCCTGCACTTAATATGGTGCTTTTATTTATGAGATCTCATTTGACCATCCTAAGACTCCTCCAAACTTGATAACATGTTGCATTTTCATGATTATTTTAGAGATAATGCTAATAAAGTTCAAAGGAAGAGAAGCAACTTAGATTCAGGACCAGTCCTGTTAATGGTTGTGCAAATTTTTAACAGAGGTCCCCGGTCTCCAAGGTCATCTGTCTTCACTCACTAGGAGATTTTTAGTTCTTTTACTTGAACAGATCATTCTCTCTTTTGAAAAGCATATGTAGGATTACAAACTGAAAATGTGAGAGTTCTCCAGTGCACAGCCTCCATCTACCCAGTTTATCCATGATGGACCCCAGAAGGCTCTTCCAAATTCCTAAGGCACTCCCGGACCCAGCTTAAAACTATGTCACTTCATCACGCTCAAGAAATAGCTCTGGTAGTAGCCCTGTCATCTCACAGCACAATCTACAGGAGCTCAGCAGCTCAGGATGAAAAACTCAATCACTTCCATCCATCACTAGTGAAAGGCAGGAAAGCAATTGGACGGGTGTCCTGAGCACGTTGGTCTCCACCAACTTGCTATATTAGATGTTGTTACTAATGGAAGAAGGAGTGAGTAAATGCCCTACTGTGTATAATATCAACCGCATGAGTCTTGAGAGATAAATGTAACTTTTGCAAACTTTATGGATTAGCCATCAAGAAAGCCTCCACCGTATTTGCAGACAGGTTTTCAATGCCACCCTGCATAGCTGGGCACTAATATAAGTAAGGCAAACACCTATGCTCAAGGGAAGAGCTGCAGTCGATCTTTAATGGTCCGGCCAGAGGAGACCTTCAGTTCAAAGGATGAAGAATGAGGTTCTATAGCATTTATGGTTTCCCTTTGCCAGGAACTTTCTATCTTTTATTGCAGTCAAGGCCTTCATTGATCTTTTCTTTCAACTGTTATTTATTCTTTCCTTTTAGCCTCAGCAAAGGAGGAAGATGAAGGGTCCGTACTTTGTCATTCTCCAGTACTTCTGAACAATGTGGTACTTCCTAGATAAGAAAACCAATAGTTATTTTCTTCAGCGCTGTCCACTACATTTTGCTACCCTTGGGAATGCAAGGGCTGCCCCTTGGGAGTAGAGAGACTGGAAAGGGCAGGAATTGAGAATAAACCTAATTTATTTTTCTTCTTTCACTTCTTTTGGGATCTGTACTCTCTTGCACACCTGAACTTACAGCCCTAAACTTACAGTTTCCAAAAATACAGCATGCTCCTTCACCTCCAAAATGATTCCCTCGCTTTTGGTATGTCCATCTCTTTCTTCTTTCCCTGCTCAGTTTATTCCATCATAGCGAGGGGAATCTTTGTAGCAGGATAATTCAAGAGGTGCCTTTAGCATCACAAAAGACCCATGTTCTAATGCCAGTTCTATCACTTTTTAGCAGTGTGACCTAGGGACAGGTTCATAACTTCCCTGTGCCTTAGCATCCGTTCTATAAAATAACAATAACAGTACTCACTTCCTAACATTGTTGCAAGAGATAAGATGATGCATGTAAAGAAGTTGTTTTATGGTAGACAACCAATATGTCAGTAAAGAAAAAATAATTATTTAATGTTATTTAAATGAAATTAATAGTAATGACAATAAAAATTCAGTGCTTATTTATTTCCCCCTAGGGTACCTTTCTTGATCTGGCAGTAATCGGATTTAGATGTCTTTCTCCGGCCTCACTTATAGCCTGTACTTACTATATTAGTTTGTTCTCACATTGCTATAAAGAAATACCTGAGACCAGGTGATATATAAAGAAAAGATGTTGAATTGGCACACGGTTCTGCAGGCTGTACAGGAAGCATGGTAACTTCTACTTTGGGGGAGGCCTCAGGAAGCTTCTAATCATGGTAGGAGTCAAAGTGGGAGTGAAATGTCTCACATGGCAGGAGCAAGAGCAAGAGAGAGTGAGAGGGCGAGGTGCCACACACTTTTAAATGACCAGATCCCATGAGAACTCACTCACTATCACGAGGACAGTACCAAGGAGGATGGTGCTAAAGCATTCATGAGAAATCCACTTCCATGATCCAATCACCTCCCACCAGACCCCACCTCCAACACTGGGGATTACAATTTGACATAAGATTTGGTGGGGACACAGATCCAAACCATATCACTTACCTACATTACAGAATTATGATGGTCTATTTATATATCTCTCTCTTCCTCTAGATTTTAGGTATCTAGAGGCAAGGCTTATACTAGATCATTTTGTGTGCTCAACACATAACATAGTACCCACAACAGGGTAAAATAAATGATTAGTGACATTGCTTCCTTTGCTTTATTCTAACACATTAATCATTTCAATAAGCATTTAATATCTTGACTATGCTCTATGGATAACTGGGCACTAATGTAAATAAAGCAAACACCTATGCTCAAGGGAAGAGCTGCAGTTGATCTTTAATGCTCTGGTCAGAGGAGATCCCTCTCTCTTACAGGTGTTGGAGACGTAGGTATGCATGAGAGAGAGGTGTTGGAGATGTAGGTATACATTAGACATGGACTCAATAATTCACTGTCCAGATGAAGAAAGACATTTATAAACCAATAGTTTCAATTCAATGCAGTGCATTGTATGATAGAGTGATGCCCAGAGACCCAGAGAAATATAAAGAGAACTTGATTGCAGCTGAGAGGGAAGCAGTACAAAGAAAAGAATCATGAAGGCCACCCAGTGGAGGAGATACTCAGATGGGATCTTGGAAGAAGAGAAGTTGTTAAGCAAGTAGACAAGAGGGAAAGAGCTGATTCTTACAGGCAGAAAAAAAAAATGGCCTCTGCAAAGGGAACAGAAGAGCAAAATGGCATCGAGAATTTAGGGCATGTCACACAGTTTAATATCCCCCATCACGAATATCAAGGCAGTGGCAGGAGATTAGCCTTGAGAGGTGGGCAGAGGCCAGATCACAGGGACCTTGGGTATGATAATGGTAAAATGCCAAAAGCCTGGGAAGTACAATGAGATACATTTTTTTAAACAACTCAGGCTATAGTCTTGACCAGCTATTTAATGTAAGAGGGTGACCTATATATTAAAATCCTCCTTTTAAAGTGGCATAGATAGTATTCAGCTGGGAGAGCAATTGAAGTGTTGGTATTCAAAGTGCAGTTCCCATCATGAAACACCTTACAGGTCGGAGTCACAAAGTGGAGGAAATAACAAAGTGCATGGATAGCAAATTGCCTCAGTAGGCAGAGAAAATGGAGCATGAAGTTGGAATTGTTGCTAACCTGTCACAAAGTACATGACTAGGAAGAAAACTTACCTACCGTGAGGTTACAGGAGAATGTCAGCACATAGCGATGAAAATGAAATTCGCGTGGTCAAACCTAGCATCCCCATGAACCTATAATTAAGGAAGTGTGAACTCCACAGTGTCTTTGTTTAATGTGTGGCATTCATTTATAATTAGAGACGTGAACTGAATCTTCAGATCTAATTGTTATGATGAATATACCTATGGTGAGATTTTCTTCCACATTACCTCCTCCTAAAACGTCTATTATGAGCCTATTAATGAGGATTAAAATGGGCATTTTGAAATTTATTGTTTCTCTGCTTGAAAATGCATACTTAATTTTAAAATTCTGTTCTTTAGCTCCAATACATATTTATTTACCTTCAAGTTTTTTTCTAGGCAGTACTCTGATACCAAAAGATCTTAGAAAGAGTACAGGCAAAATTAGAGTCATATATAGTATACCTGTTTTACCAGCTATTGTTATTATTTTAAAATTCAACCAATATTTGGTAACAAACTTTGAGATAACAGACACTGTGCTGTATACATTTTTATTCAATCTTGATTTACAGTAAAGTCATGACTTAGATCGTAGTATCCCTGAGAATTCTGAGGTCCAGAGAAATTAAGTAACTAGCTCATGCTACAAAGCTAGTTAGAGGTGGAAATGTAATTTGAATTTAGGTCTGCCTGGTTTGAAAAGCTATGCTTTCCAGATATATAGCATTATATGTCACTGTGGCAGATCCAGAAGGCAAAATTGGAACAATTGGGACAAGATGAGACTTGGGAGCCCCATTCTGAGAAGAACTGAGCCAACAACACATCATCCAACAAAGTGACTTTGAGATAACCTTCAGTTAGCATAAAAATCTGAATATAAACCAGATTCTATGGTTGAGAACCACTGGTCCATCAAAGCCATCATTATCTTTCACCTAGACCACTGCAATTGCATGTAAATACATTCGTGCATTCACCCTTACTCTTCCATCCCATTACATTATCTACAGAAACCACAGTGGCCCTCTATAAATATAAAACTAATTACGTAAAACATTCTTCATCATATTATATTGTCCTTTTAATAGACTTAATTTTTTTAGGGCAGTTTTAGGTTCATAGCAAAATTGAGTGGGAAGTTCAGGCAATTCCCATATATCCCCTCTCTGACACTTGTACAGCCTCCTCCACTATCAACATCCCAAACCAGAGTGGTTCATCTGTTACAACTGATTAACTCACATTGACACATCATTACCACCCAAAGTCCATAGTTCATATAAGGATTCACTCTTGCTGTTGCACCTTCTATGTGTTTTGAGTCCACGATTATAGCATCATACCAAGTAGTTTCTTGGCTCTAAAAATCCTCTGTGCTCCACCTATTCATCCCTCAGTCTCCTCTAACCCTTGACAACCACTGATGTGTTACTGTCGTCATAATTTAATTTTGCCTTTTCCAGAATAACATATCATTGGAATAACACAGTATGAAGCCGTCATCATTTTGTTTGTTTGTTCGGTTTTTTGTTTTGTTTTGTTTTGTCTTGGGTTTTTTTGTTTTTTTGTTTTTGAGATGGAGGTTCTCTCTTGTTGCCCAGACTGGAGTGCAATGACGTGATCTCAGCTCACGGCAACCTCTGCTTCCTGGGTTCAAGCAATTCTCCTGTCTCAGCCTCCTGAGGAGCTGGGATTACACGCATGCGCCACCATGCCTGGCTAATTTTGTATTTTTAGTAGAGACGGGGTTTCTCCATGTTGGTCAGGCTGGTCTCAAACTCCTGACCTCAGGTGATCCACCCGCCTTGGCCATCCGAAGTGCTGCGGATTACAGGCGTGAGCCACCGCTCCCGGCGTTTTTGTTTTATTTTATTTTATTTTTTTTTGAGACGGAGTCTCAATCTGTAGCCCTGGCTGGAGTGCAGTGGCACCATCTCAGCTCACTGCAACCTCCACCTCCCAGGTTCAAGCAATTCTCCTGCCTCAGCCTCCCGAGTAGCTGGGACTAGGCGCGTGTTACCACACCCGGCCAATTTTTTATTTTTAGTCGAGACAGGGTTTCACCTTGTTGGCCAGGCTGGTCTTGAACTCCTGACCTCAGGTAATCAACCCGCCTAGGCCTCTCAAAGTGCTGTGATTACTGGCGTGAGCCACTGCGCCCGGCCTCATCATGGTTTTTAAACAGTCATTGCTTCATAGCTCTCAGTCTAAAGACCAGCTTCTTAATTAGCAGAGCTCCTGAGGTCCTGCTATAATCTAGCAGTCATCTCCCCTTTCCATTTGTGTAGCAGCCCCAGTGGCTTTCTGTTTCTTGGATGCACTTTGTTTCCCCCTGTCAGAAAGTCCTTGCACATGCTATTCCTCTGTCTTTTTTTTTTTTTTTTTTTTTTTTTGAGATAGAGTCTCACTCTGTTGCCCAGGATGGAGTGCAATGGTGCGATCTCGGCTCACTGCAACCTCCGCTTCCCAGGTTTAAGCCATTCCCCTGTCTCAGCCTCCCAAGTAGCTGGGATTACAGGCCACCACACCCAGCTAATTTTTGTATTTTTTTTTTTTTTTTTTTTAGTAGAGACGGAGTTTCACCATTTTGCCCAGGCTGGTCTCAAACTCCTGACCTCAGGTGATCCACCCACCTCGGCCTATCAAAGTGCTGGGATTACAGGTCTGAGCCACTGTGCCGGCCGTATTCCTTCTGTCTTGAAAGCTAAGTCGTACTCAGAATTCAGAGCTAACTTAAGTTGTCTCACACTCCAGGAATCTTTTCCTCACCTCTCAGTCTAGGTCAGTTCCTTTGATATTCACTTTCGTTTACTCTATCTTCTTTTCCTCACTGCACTAATTTAAGTTTTTATCAGTGTCTTAGCAGCATATAATAAGTTTGCTGTGGTTCTCCAATCGGATTATAAATCCCTATAAATCCAATCTCTATCCTGTTTGCCAATACATCGCAGGTCAGTTAGAGAATCTGGTACATATTTGTGAAAAATAAATGAACAAATGATTTTTTTTAAATAAAAATCTATGCCTAGAAAGGGAATTATAGCAAAAGACCAAGATCATTGGAACCAGATGACAGTTGAATCATCTCTGGCACTAACTAGCTATGTGCTCTTGGATACCAGTATTTATGGATTTATTTTGTTCTACGAACTTTAATTCAGCTACAACTTTTCCAAAGTGCCAGGCCAAACAGAAAAGATATAGCAATGAGCAAGACCCATGCAGTCCCTGACTCACCATGTCTAAATAGTAGGGATTACAGGTTTTGTTTCTTTGTTTTCAATTGAAATTTTTAATGAGAAATCTTTGCATATACATGCAGTTGTAAAAAATAATACAAAGGATTCTGTGTACACTTTTCCCAGTTTACTCCAATAGTAACATTTTACCAAACTATGGTAGAATATCATAACCAGAAAACTGACACTAATACAGAGGTACAGATTTTAAACTAATAATTGCAAGTGCAGTGAGCATTAAAAAAAAGAGAGGGAGTTTGAGGCGAGCTCAGGAGTTCAAGACCAGCCTGGGCAACATGGCAAAACCCTGTGTCTACTAAAATACCAAAAATTAGCTAGGCATGGTGGCATGTGCTTGTAGCCCTAGCTACTTGGGAGGCTTAGGTGGGAGAACAGCTTGAGCCTGGAAGGCAGAGGTTGCTACTGCACTCCAGCCTGGGTGACAGAGCAAGACTCTGTTCCCCCCAAAAAAATAAAAATTAGGGGAAGTTCAGAAATAGAATTCCAGAACAGCAAAAGCAGAGAGACTAAAGTGCAGAGACAAATTCCTGAGTCTGGAGTGTTAGACTCATGCTAGCTCACAAAATGTATATATACATATGTGTGTGTATATATATATGTGTATATATGTGTATATATATGTGTGTGTGTCTGTATGTGTATATATATATATATATATTTTTTTTTTTTTAAGACAGAGTCTCACTCTGTCACCCAAGCTGGAGTGCAGTGGCATGATCTCAGCTCATTGCAACCTCCCTTGCCCAGGTTCAAGCAATTATCCTGCCTCAGCCTCCCAAGTACCTGGGATTACAGGTGCGTGCCACGACGCCGGCTAATTTTTTGTATTTTTAGTAGAGACGGGGTTTCACCATGTTAGTCAGACTGGTCTCAAACTCCTGACTCAGGTGATCTGCCTGCCTCAGCCTCCCAAAGTGCTGGGATTACACATGTGAGCCACTGCACCTGGCCCCAGTATTATATTTTTAAAAATTAATTGGGAATACTCATCAGAAATGATAAAAGAAAAAAAAAGAATAAAATGCTGATAGATGCTGCAACATGGATGAACCGTGAAAACATTGTGCTCTGGGAAAGAATCCAGACACAAAAGAACACATACAATATAATTCCATTGATATGAAATATCCACAAAAGGCAAATCTATAGAGACAGAAAGTAAATTATTGTTTTTTTAGGGACTACAGATGAGAATGAAGATTATCAATAAACCAGCATGAGGGAGTTTGTTGAGATGATACAAATCTAAAACTGGGTTATGCTGATGGCTACAACTCAGTAAATATGCTCCCAAATCCTCAAATTATACACTTGAAATTAGTGTACTTTATGGTAAGTAAACTACACCTCAATAAATTGGTTAAAAAATGAAAATTCATGTTATTAAAAAGAATTTAGTCAAGGGGGTATGCTTTCGATGAAATATAAAGCATCATTTGTTTTACTTTCCTTACCTAAAAAATGAAAATATTTTTTCTGCTTGCCTTAAGATATATCCAACTCCAGTTTTCCTTTTCTGTAAAACAATTTGTTTATTCCCATATCCTATAGGACATGGCTGCCTTGTTGAAACTGCTTTTCTTGGGCAATTTCCGAGGCACAGATTTTCTGTTGTTTGTCTGTTGACTTTTTAATTCCTAAGTTCTTGACAATGGGGACTCAATATGTGCTAAAGGTTTAAAAATACCAGATGAGATGAACAGAAAATCTTTGTTTGCTAAATTTGAGTGAAATCGAATACAGGTGGGTGTGTGGCTAACATTTTTGCCACAAGATAGGACAAATGATTTTCATCGAACTTTCTCTCAAAAGCAGTTTAGGCAGATGCTGCAAGGGTTTTGCTTCCATTTCTCAAGCAAGAATGAGCAAGTGGGCTCAAGGAATCATAATATAACTCTCATGTCCTCTACACTACAGACAATAAGCCCTTTCCAAAGAATAACAGTGCAATTAAGAACAGTCACATCCTGTAAACTAGTGGTTCTCAAAGTGAGATTTTCAGAGATGCAGTAGCAGCATCATCTGGGAACATAGAAATGCAAAGTATTTAGCCATACTCAAGACTTACTGAATCAGAAACTCTGGAGATGACAGCCAGAAATCTATCTGCACATTCAAAAGCCATCCACGGGGTTCTGATCCATGCTAAAGTTTGAGAACTACTGCTATGATCACAAGAATTCAAATGTGGGTGTCAGCAGATCTGGATATGATCCATGATACTAGGCGGACATTGCAAGCTACATTTGTAATATATTTAACTTCCCTGAGCCTCAATTTTCTGTAGGTTAAATGGCAATGGCAAAAACCTGTATTAGTTTCCTAATGCTGTTATAACATTACCACAAATTTAGCAGTTTAAACAGCACAGATTTATTACCTCATACTTTCCATAGGTCAGAAATCCAGGCAGAGTGTGGCTAAGCTGATTTCTTTGCTTAGAATCTTACAGGGCCAAAATTAAAGTGTCTGCCATCTGGGTACTTCTCTGGAGGCCTTTAGGGAAGAACACACTTTCAAGCTCACACTCATGTTTTCGGCAGATTTCAATTCCTTGTGATTGTTGAACTGAGGTTTCAGGGCCCCCCCACCTTCAAATCCTTTTCATGCTTTGACCCAAGAGAGCATCAAATCCTTCTCATGTTTTGAATCTCTCTGGATTAATCTTCTCCTTCTGCCTTCCTCTTCTGTTACAAGCCAAAGAATATTCTCTGCTCTTAAGAGATTATGTGATCATTGGTGCCTCTGAAATAATTCAGAATAATCTCTTTTTTCCTTAGGACATCTGATTAGTACCCTTAATTACATATGCAAATTATTGTTTGCCTTTTTTTTTCTTTGAGACAGAGGAGTCTCACTCTGTCACCCAGGTTAGAGTGCAGTGGCTCGATCTTGGCCCACTGCAACCTCTGCCTCCTGGGTTCAAGCAATTCTCCTGCCACAGCCTCCCTCGTAGCTGGGACTACAGGCCTGTGCCACCATGCCCAGCTAATTTTTGTATTTTTAGTAGAGATGGGGTGTCACCATGTTGGCCAGGCTGGTCTCAAACCCCTGAGTTCAGGCAATCCACACTCCTCAGCCTCCCAAAGTGCTGGGATTATACGTATGAGCCATTGTTTGCCATTTATGATAATATATTTGCAGGCATAATAGATCCTCAAATTCCCACTGTGAAATCCTCTTGGGCCATAACATTGCTTATCACAGAACCTATCTTGTAGGTCCTAAAAGAACACCCCCAAAGGTATCAGAAGGGCAGATTGATTTTTCATAGTCTAACACCAATTCACTTTAAAGACACTAAAAGTTGCCACTAGCCTGTGAGGTTGCTCACGCCTGTAATTTCAGCACTTTGTGAGGCTGAGGCGGGCAGATCACCTGAGGTCAGTAGTTTGAGACCAGCCTGGCCAACATGCTGAAATCCCATCTCTATTAAAAATACAAAAATTAGCCAGGCATGGTGGCGGTCACCTATAATCCCAGCTACTTGGGAGGCTGAGGCAGGAGAATTGTTTGAACCCAGGAAGCGCAGGTTGCAGTGAGCCAAGATTGTGCCACTGCACTCCAGCCTGGGTAATAGAGTAAGACTCCATCTCAAAAAAAAAAACAAAATCACCACTAAAGAAGGCCTGCAAGGTATGAGACAGCTTACAGACCATCTACTGTATTGATATGGCATGGGTTGCTGCAAGGAGACGTACCTACAAGTCTAGTTTTGGTTTGGATATTGGCAGTACTATGGAATGTCTCAAGGCAGATTGCCTTTGGCAAGAAGGACTTTCTTCTTTCTACTCTATTCAAAGAAAGGATGTTTTGAGGATGTTGTATAATTTATAAATCCAAGCCAGTATAATTTGCCTTGGGTACTATTGCTGGATCTTTGCCAATCATTATAGTTAGTGAATCATATCTTACTCACATTGCTGTGCCTTTTAGTGGGTATCTGATACAGAAGAAACCATGGAGTGAAAAAGTCTTCCTTTCTTGGGGCCTTGGATAGGTGAGTAGGGATCAGGGTAGTCTAGCCAATCTGTTTTCTAGATTGTTCTCTCTTACCTTACTGAATGAATGCCTCATTTTATAGAGATCCAGAGAAGGAAGGTGACATTCTCCAAGCACATGAAAAAGATGGAAATCTGAGACTTGATGCTAGACAGCCATAGCTTTCCAAGCTCTCCTATATGATGCCACCAAAAGAAGAACAGCGAAATATCCATTCGCTAATGATCACTTTTACTATTGATGAGCCTTGTTTCTCCTACACATTAAAGCCTTTGTAGTTGCATTGTGTGAGGATAATTTTAGGAGTCAACGTAAATGGATTAAGGGTTGCTTAGAGAACTGGCAAAGCATTCTCTCCTGGTGTGTCTGTGAGGGTGTTTCCAGAGGAGATTGGCGTTAGAGTCAGTGGACTGAGTGGGGAAGACCAACCATGAATATGGGCAGGCACCATCCAATCAGCTAGGGCCTAATGTAACAAAAAAGAGAGAGAAAAGGTAATTTCTTGTCTCTCTCCTGCTCTTTGACATAAGAATTACAGACTTTTATACCAGTTTCCCCCATCCCCAGGCTCTCAGGCCTTCAGTCTCAAACTGAGCATTACACTATCGCCTTCCCTAGTTCTGAGGCTTTTAGACTCGGACTGAGCCATGATACAAGCATCCCTGGGTCTCTAGTTTGCAGATGGCCCATTGTGAGATTTGTCAGCCTCCATAATCATGTCAGCCAATTCTCCTAATAAATTCCTTCTCATATCTCTATCTCTATCTGTATCATCACTATCCGTATCATCTATGTCTAAATGTACACATCCAATTGATTCTGTCTCTATGGAGAACTCTGACCAATACACATTGTTCCCTATCAGTGCTTATTTATTATTCTCACACTGATATATTTCCAGAATACCTACATATGCCAAGGTAGTAATTTGGGGAACTGATCCTGTGAAATAAAGAAAATGTACTATTAGTTTGTCAGAAATGGTGAAGTGCAAATCCTTCATTTACTCTCTGTCCTCTTTTCAGCTTGCATTTAATATCAGAGAAGCATCCCATCAGAGCTTGAGATCCATATTGGTGATTGCATAGTTACTTTGCGTGCTCTGCTCTGCTGTTTCTTGATTATAATTGAGTCACTTACACAAATCTGAGTAAAGGCAGGAAATCAGCCATTTGTGATGAATAATTCCTGCAAATTGGATGCAAGTCTACATTTTATAAATTCAGATTAGGTAATATTTCAGATTCTCAAGAAGAACCCTACAGGTAGGTATATTATATGATCTCACTCAATAACACATTCATTACGCACAATTAGGTTGACTGCACGCCCCCATTGTCTGGGACAGTCTTGGTTTTTACCTCTTGTCCTATTTACTATTTGTCTTAGGCAAAAGTAACTCACTTGAGAAGGTAAATTATATGGTCATCCTGTACAACATAAATATAATTTATGTGCCTCTCAATAGGCAATGCAGCCCTTTAGAAACTGCATAGGTTTTAGAGTCAGGTGGTCCTGAGCATAAATCTCAGCTCTGCCATCCATTAGTTAAGTAATCTTAAGAAAATTTCTAAACTCTCTGGGATTCTGCTTCCTCAAAGTGAAATGTAAAAATCTAGCTCGGATTTCCATATTAAGATCATTGTGAAGATTAATTAAATCCTGCATGCACACAATGCCTGAAGTATAATCTGGTATTATATTTTATTTTATTGACAGATGCATTTCTCATCAGAAACATTATAAGAGTGAAATTTTATTTTTATTTTTTTTTATTATAGCAGCACAATTCTTTTTTTTTTATACTTTAAGTTCTAGGGTACATGAGCACAACGTGCAGGTTTGTTTGTTACATACGTATGCATGTGCCTCGTTGGCGTGCTGCACCCATTAACTGGTCATTTACATTAGGTATATCTCCTAATGCTATCCCTCCCCCCTCCCCCCACCCCATGACAGGCCCCGGTGTGTGATGTTCCCCTTCCTGTGTCCAAGTGTTCTCATTGTTCAATTCCCACCTAAGAGTGAGAACATTCGGTGTTTGGTTTTCTGTCCTTGCGATAGTTTGCTGAGAATGATGGTTTCCAGCTTCATCCATCTCCCTACGAAGGACATGAACTCATCCTATATTTATTTATTTATTTTTAGATGGAGTTTCACTCTGCGGCTCAGGCTGGAGTACAATGGCGTGATCTTGGCTCACTGCAACCTCCGCCTCCTGGAGGAGTTCAAGTGATTCTCCTGCCTCAGCCTCCCTGGTAGCTGGGATTACAGACTCCCGCCACCACACCCGGCTAATTTTTGTATTTTTAGTAGAGACGGGGTTTGGTCATGTTGGCCAGGCTGGTCTCGAACTCCTGACCTCAGGTGATCCACCAGCCTTGGTCTCCCAAAGTGCTAGGATTACAGGAGTGAGCCACCACACCCGGCTAGGATTTGTCATTTAAAAGAATTTAAACTTACACTTCAAAATAAATGCAGACTGAATCCTGCCTACACCCTCCCCCAGAAAAACACCATGAAATTTGTAAGGTAAAAAATAGCTAGTTTTATAAGTAGAAAAAGATACATGTATCAAGTGAAATAATGGATAATGGTCAGGGAAGTTTTAGCTAAGCAATGCTAAGGGATTGGTTTCCTTGAAAGCTTTTTCTGCTAACTCTATCCCCTCACAATCCCAGCTTTGCTATTCATTTCCTTTTTCCTCTCTCTTTCTCCTCTCTCTTTCTGTGATCCTTGAAGGAGGCAAAGCATGACTGCTTCTCCACATCCCTATGTCAGACATTGGTGGATCCATGAGATGCTGCAATTAGAAGTATTCCCAGCTTTCTATGGCATCTTCAGCTAGTCCCCCAGATAGCAGGATGTGAACTCTCATGCCTTTGATTTTCTCCTTTAATGATAAACAAAACTCGGCCTCATCGAAGAGAGGCTTGCAGAGATTTGTTGGGCTTCACAGCCAAATCCATTAGCCCTTTGATGTTCCATCCTCCTCAGCAACTCCTTTCTCATTTTCTTCTGTGAAGTCAATAGCTCATTATTGTTTTCCATCTGCATTCAATCTTTCAGTTACTATCCACAATAATAATAATAATAATTGTGTTCAAGTTTATTTCCAATCTAAAGATCCACTGATATAGATAAATTGCAAATACCCATGCTGCTTTTACTTTCATTTTCAACAGAAAGCACCACTTGAATGATACTTCAATAATACAGATTTTATAATCTTTCATAAATACTTTATCTAGGTAAAATGTGCATCTGGAGGGTAAGACTATTGCAATTTTTATTGTATGTAAGAGTCTTCAAAATAACTCCAGCTACTACTTATACAAAATCTTACTTTAAGTAAACTCATATTAGCTACTGTAATTTTCTTGGTTAATGTATTTGGAGTAAAAAATGTTTAGATAAAAATTCTTGTATTATTTTTTAGACAAAATCTACAATTATATTAAAGATATAAAAATCATCTTTGGAAAAAATTTTAACAAAATTATGTGTACTATGATATATACGTGTGTGTGTGTGTGTGTGTGTGTGTGTGTGTGTGTGTGTGTGTACATAAGGGAGTATCCAAAGAATGAACCATTAACAGCCCACAAAGCATTCTGTAATTGTCAATCCAATTTCTCCCTCCTTTCGCATCCTATAGAGGAAGATACCTAGACACAAATAATAAAATCCTGAGGAGGAAATTAAGAGAAAGAAGGCCAAAGCCTTAGAGTATAGGGTACAAAAGACCCAGCATTTAATATAAAAAACTGCAGCATATTCAGGAGGTAGATGAGGGCAATTTGGTGGCCAAATTGTTCACAATGAAATAGCTGACCCTGTCCTTGACCACTCTATTGTCCCACAATTTCATAGTCAAACCATTATCAAATTGTGTCATTTAAACTTGTAAAATGTACACTAAGACCTTGGTTGAAGTTTTCATCCTTCCATGTTTTCTAATTTGCTTCCCTTCTTCTGTTCTTAGTCTCCTATAGACTAGATGCAACAAGACATGCCGGGTGATCCTTTTCAAATAGGACGTTCAAAACGCTTTCATAGCTCTCTATCTCTCAGAGTGGCGGTCAAGGCCTTAATGCATGGTAGGCCTCCAAGGAAGATCGCCAGGTCTAGCAAATAAAAATACAGGATGCCTAGTGAAAAACACAGAACACTTGTACTGAACTTTAGTAAAGCTTCTCTGTTCCTTTACATTTGCATGACTCAATGAGTTTCCATTTCCTGCAATGGAGGAGGCTGTCAGGTGAACAGGTTTGGGCTGAGAGACGTGCTCAAATATCGTCTCATCAGAGAAGCCTTTCCTAACACTTAACATAGCACTTATTACCACCTGACAGATAATAATACAAACTATTGGCATGTCTCCCTCCACTAAAATGTGTAGCTTCACAGAGCAGAGAATGTGATTTTCTACTGCCTTGTCACTAATACCTAGAATGTTGCTTGCTACAAAGTAAGTGCCTAAAAAGTCTTTAATGAACAAAAGCCTTTCAAGAGACTCAAGTAAAAACAATGGAAGTATTAAAACTTTCAGTGCATTGTTCAAGGTTGCATCACTAAGAAAAGGGAGTGCTATGATCAGAAGCTATTAGATCTAGCCTCTTCATAACTATCTTACCTTTGTTATATATTTTTGGTTTTTTGTGTTTTTTTTTGAGACGCAGTCTTGCTCTGTCACCAGGCTAGAGTGCAGTGGCACGATCTCGGCTGACTGTAACATCCGCCTCCCTGGTTCAAGCGATTCTCCTGCCTCAGCCTCCTGAGTAGCTGAGATTACAGGCACCCGCCACCACACCCAGCTAATTTTTGTATTTTTAGCAGAGACGGGGTTTCACCATGTTGGCCAGGACGGTCTTGATCTCCTGACCTTGTGATTTGTCCGCCTCGGCCTCTCAAAGTGCCGGGATTACAGGCGTGAGGCACCGTGCCCAGCCTCCTTTGTTATGTGTTTTAAGTGGGAAATAGAAACTTTTCACTTTTCTGTCTAGAATTTGTTTTTTAACCATTATTCGTGATAAAACAGTATTTCTCTGGGTAGATAAAAAAACTCATAAACTGAATTTTTGTCCTTACCACTTGTATATGATGCTATTTACTTTATAGTCCTCAATTTTCTGATAATTTAAATTGATCAGAAAACAAGGAAGTAGTGATGATGGATATTGTGTTTAGGGTAACACTGATAACTCTCTAAAATCCAATCATAATGATTTACACTGTCTAATCTGATAACTGTACTCTTGCATGCTGTATCACCCCCCACCTGGCTGCTGAAAGCTCATCAGAATGGGAATGAGAAAAAAAGGAGGAAAGAATTAGTATAAATCCATAATCTTAATTCTAGAAAATACACTCTTAAATCAACGTTTGAGGTACATATTATTTCAAAATATTCTAATGCACAAGTAGAAATGAAATTTTTCATTTAGCAAATGTGGAAACTTAACTCATTTTAATTAATCTGTGTCTTATCTATAAATTAGAACAGTATTTATAATCAGTCAGCTATTTCTTTATATACTAACTCCATGAAGGAGCTTAATCAATGGTAAGGTAGCCTTTCCTACCTGGACATATCCCTGAGAGAGAAGTGTGGAGTTCCCCCTTGACCACATGAATGTGATTCACATATCGTATTCCTTTTTGTTAACCATGTTTTGAACAAAAGTGATGTAAGGGAGAAAAAATAATTCATACTTTATATTTTATTGGAAAAGTTGCTGAGAAATGGAGAGTTTTCATAACTCTGAAGGGCCATGCAAGATAAGGATCCTAGTTTCTCTACTCTCTATTCATAGCTATATTCTTTAGAGAACTGTAATTCAAGCAAGATCTTATATAAAGAACACTCCCAAGGAGCTAAAAACATATTAAAAATTCAAACTAATTACATCTTGAAGGAGAAAAATACATTTTTGTTACAAACATCCATAATCATTTATGTATATATAGATATAAGCATATATCTGTATCTATATATACACATATATACATTAGAAGATCTACAGATACCTTCTAATGCATGTGCAAGGAGCTGTAGGACCTAAGGGAAATAAGCCTAGTGGGAGAAGCACATGTATATAGTCTAAGCAAGTGGATATAACTGTGCAATGATGGTTTCTCATAGATGCTGTTGGTGTCCCTCTAGGATCACTTACGCTCAAGTGTACCTATCATATAGGATTGTTTTAAGGCAATATAGATAAAACATTTTTTACAATTTTTGACATACGTCTTATGCTCAGTAATTGACACAGAAGTTAATGTTTATATTCTACTATACAGTAGAATCTCTGCAGTATGGAGTGTGCAGATACCATCTCTGATTTTTGGAAGGGTTCAAGGCCTAAATCCCACTGAGCCTCGGTCTCTGGCCTCAACCATGATGGTTTGTATAAAAGCCAAGTTTTACTATGTGAGGCAATGTAAACGGGTCACTTTTTTTTTTTTTTTTTTTTTTTTTTTTTTTTTTTTTGAGACAGAGTTTCGCTCTTGTTGCCCAGGCTGGAGTACAATGGCACAATCTCAGATCACCGCAACCTCCGCCTTCCGGGTTCAAACAATTCTCCTGCATCAGCCTCCTGAGTAGCTAGGATTACAGGCATGCGCCACCATGCCCGGATAATTTTTTTGTATTTTTAGTAGAGATGGGGTTTCTCCATGGCTGGTCTCTTGAACTCCTGACCTCAGGTAATCCGCCCACCTCAGCCTCCCAAAGTGCTGGGATTATAGGCATGAGCCACCTGCCCAGCCTGGGACACAGTTTCTTAGTAAGACCTCTACCACATTTGGTTTACCAGTAGATTAATTGTGCAACATGCTTTGTTCTTTTAAAAAGCTGTTATCTGGTAAATTCAGTCTTTGAAAGACTGACTGATTATAGCCTTGAGTTCAAACAGTGGGAAATGCCACCACATTATCAAATTTCTATTTAGCTTGATAAAAATACATAGGATTTTAATCTAAGTTAGTAGGCTCCAGATCTAGTAGGAGATCCCAGACAAAAGAAATCACACAGTAATGAGGGACTCACTCCCAAAAGGTAAGAGAAAAAATTAAAACTGATTCTAAAAGTGAAGCCGAACAGGAGAATATATGTAATAATCTTAACTAGGTTACCTAGTTCTGACAATTTTTAAAAATATTTTTATTTAAAACCAAAGGATGTGCTAAGTATCTTCAGGATGAAAAGGCTATTGGACATTGTATTAAAATAGTATTACCTTTGGTCACAATTCCAATATTAAGAGTGCCTATGAGAAAAAAAAATTGCAAAATATGTTTTGGAATATTTGAAGTCAGAGGACACTGTATTTCATCTTTACATTTTTAATGCCTAGCCTAGTTGTTCTAGATCTTTTCCACCTGTCATTCCAGATTCCTTTTCTACTTTGCCCCCTTGAATTCTCTGCCTTGGGCAGTGGATCTTCATAAACCACACTAACAGTTCACTTTACTCCCTGCTTCCTGTTATATTTGGCTAATGAGGACCCCTACAGAGACCCAAGGAAGTTATGGAGGACAGTAATGGCAGGATACTTATTCCCCAGTTTTTCTCCCTATGAGATCACCTTCAGCTGGCTGTGTTCTTGACCCAGAGTTACTGATTTCAAAGAGGCATCCTGTACCCTAGTATTTGTCAAACATTAACATGCATTCAAATCAACTTGGGAATTTATGAAAATATAGGTTTTATTCTGCCAGTCTAGGGTTGGGCCTGAGATTGTTTCTTTTCCATGTAGCTTCCAGGTGAAGTCAATACTGCTAGTCTGTGAACCACATTTTGACTAGTAAGACTTTATGTGACTGGGTCCTTCTGATTTCTGATTTCCTCCTTTGTCATATCCTTTTTGGCCCAGTTGCAGCATTACAGTTGCAATGAGCTTGTGCATTCTGCACTATCCCTTGTGGTCTCTTATACCATATGAAGACCTTTTAAAATATTATCTTTGAAAGGAAACCAAACCTTCCTCAATTAGCTGGCTGGTACCCTCTGATACACCTGTTCTTGGCACATAGTAGTAATTCAATAAATGGGGCATCAATCTCTCTGTATTACAATTATATAGTGGCGGTGGAACTTTTTTAAAAATATATTCTGCTATATTTGTGTCTGACAAAAAATTCGTAGTATATAATTTGAAAGCATGAAAGAATGACTTGATTTTGAATAGTTAAAAGATTGGTGGTGATAATGATATTTGGCTGTGTCCCTACCCAAATCTCATCTTGAATTCCCACGTGTTGTGGGAAGGACCTGGTGGGAGGTAATTGAATCATGGAGGCAGGTCTCTCCTATGTTTTTCTTATGATAGTGAATAAGTCTCACAAGATCTGATGGTTTTAAAAACTAGAGTTTCCCTGCACAAGCTCTCTCTTTGCCTGCTGTCATCCATGTAAAATGCGACTTACTCCTCCTTGCCCTTCCACCATGATTGTGAGGTTTCCCCAGCCACTTGGAACTGTGAGTTCTCCATTAAACCTCTTTCTTTTGTAAATTGCCCAGTCTTGAGTATGCCTTCGTCAGCATCATGAAAACTGGCTAATACAGGTGACTTTAAAACTAAATAGCTTTCTCATATGACATTCAGTATAATGGCAGAGAAAACTGATACTAAGGTAAAGGAGGTAGTTACATAATTGAAACAACTTAATTTAGAAAATATTTGACATTTTCCCTGGGCATGTGAACCAAACACTAGCAAATCACACAAGTTGGCATCAGACCAACAATTTGGGAAAGAATATGACATTCCAGCGTGTAGTCATTATAAAGCTTTTACACAATATTCAAAAACAGCTGAACTGTAACATATGCTATCTAAGGGAATTCCTTTTCCTTCAAAGTATGTATTTAATTAACATTAACATTTATGAAATTTGGAAATGCTGAGATATGTAAAAAGCATATTCTGTAATAAGTAAGCTTAGCTATCCAGATTAGTTTCATCTACTAGCAAATGTCCACCAATTACTTTGATATAAAAAGTCAGAATGAAAAGACAGCTAGCAAGTTCACTGAAATTTTACTGCTTGCCTATTATCTGCCATGCTATACAACAGATTCTGAATTTATTATTTATTTATTTTTTCATTTTTTATTTTTTTGAGACAGAGTCTCATTCTGGCACCCAGGCTAGAATGCGATGGTGTGATCTTGGCTCACTGCAACCTCCACCTCCCAGGTTCAAGCGATTCTCCTGCCTCAGCCTCCTGAGTAGCTGGGATTACAGGCACGTGCCACCACACCCAGCTAATGTTTGTATTTTTAGTAGAGACAGGGTTTCACCATGTTGGTCAAGCTGGTCTTGAACTCCTGACCTCGTGATCCACCCACCTCAGCCTCCCAAAGTATCTGAATTTAAATTTTATATGACAGCTCCTGAGTTCAAGTCTCATCTTTATCATATAAGAACTAAGTGATCCTGAGAAACCACAGTTAATTTGTTGAAAACATTTTCAGAAAGCTAGTATATGTGAAAACATCCTTAACCATAAAGCATGGGCTAAAATGAGACTTTTTATAAATATATAATATGTATGAGATATTTTACGAACATGTCAAAAAGGATTATATTTAAACTAGCAATTTAAATAAACTTTTTATTCAGACATATATATCTTGATTCTTATTGATTCCTGCTTTCTGCTCTCTTTCATAGAGAAGAAGACATGGAACAATAGTTAAGGAATATATGACTTTTTAATGCCACCTTCAGAATTGGTATCATCCATTAAAAAAATAGTTCATTTTTATCGAGCAGTTTTAGGCTCACGGCAAAATTGAGCAGAAAGTTCAGTGTTTCCCTGCATCCTTTGTCCCCCCACTGGCACAGCATTTCCTACTATCAACATTCCACATTAGAGTGACACATTTGCTATAATCCATGAACCTACATTGACGCTCTATTATCACTTGAAGTCTATGGATTACATTAGGTTTCAGTCCTGGTGTTGTACATACTATGGGTTTGGACCAAGGTATAATGATCGGTATCTACCATTATCATGCAGAATAGTTTCATGGCCCTAAACATTTTCCGTGCTGTGCCTATTCCTCCCTCCCTCTTCTCTAACCTCTGGCAACCACTGATCTGTTTACTATCTTCACAGTTTTGTCTTTTTCATAATTTCATATAACTAAAATCATACAGTATGTAGGCTTCTCAGACTGCCTTCTTTTACTTAGTAACGTGCATTGAAAATTCCATCATGTCTTCTCATGGCTTGATAGCTCATTTTTTCTTTAGCAGGGAATAATATTCAATTGCCTGGATGTACTATAGCTTATTTATCCATTCATCTACTGAAGGACATCTTTCCTGCTTCCAAGTTTTAGTCATTATGAATAAAGTTGTTATAACCATTCCTTTGCAGATTTTTGTGTGGACATAAATTTTCAACTTATTTGTGTAAGGAGTGTGGCTGTCAGAATGTAGGGTAAGAGTTCATTTAGTTTTCTAATAAACCACACTGTCTTCCAAAGTGGTTGGGCCATATTGTGTTCCCACCAGCAATGAATGAGATTTCCTGCTGATGAACATCCTCACCAGTAGTTGGTGTCAGCATTTTTAATTTTAGCCATTCTCATAGGTGTGAAGTAGTATCTCATTGTTTTATTTGCAATTCTCTAATGGTATATGCTGTTGAGCATCTTTTCATATGCTTATTTGCATCTGTATATTTTCTTTGATGAGGTGTTTGCAGGTCTTTTGTTCATTTTTTAACTGGGTTGTTTTAAATTCTTCATACATTTTGAATAAAGTCCTTTATCAGATATGTGTTTTGCAAGTATTTTCTCCAAGTCTATGATACTTATCTTCTCATTCTCATGACAATGTCTTTTATAGAGAAGATATTTTTAATTTTAATAAAGTCCAGCTTATCAATTATTTCTTTTATGGATAATGTCTTTGGTGTTATATTTAAAAAGTCACCATGATAACCTGTATATTCTCCTGTTATCTTCTAGGAGTTTTACAGTTTTTGATTTGCACTTAGGTCTGTGATCTATTTTGAGTTCATATTTGTAAGGGGTGAAAGGTCTATGTCTAGATGCATTTTTATTGCATGTGGATGTCCATTTGTTCCAGCTCCATTTGCTATGTTTCACCCAATTTTAGAGCTACTAAAAGCTATTTGGGAGAAAAAAATCCCAGCAGCAACTCGGATTCACACATATTTTTCTGATGCAACGTGAAAATAACCCTACTCTACCTCCAAAGAAAATAAGGTATTTAGGCTGGGCATGGTGGCTCACGCCTGTAATCCCAGCACTTTGGGAGGCCGAGGTGGGCAGATCACTTGAGGTCAGGAGTTCGAAACCAGCCTGGCCCACATGGTGAAACCCCATCTCTACTAAAAATACAAAACAGTTGGCTGGGCGTGGTGGCAGGTGCTTGTAATCCCAGCTACCTGGGAGGCTGAGGCAGGAGAACTGCTTGAACCCAGGAGGTGGAGGTTGCAGTTGAGCCAAGATCATGCCACTGCACTCCAGCCTGGCCGACACAGCAAGACTCTGTCTCAAAAAAAAAAAAAATAAGGTATTTAGAAAACAAACATTTAATGCATTCTCTTGAAGAAAAATTGAATGCAAATTGAATACAACAGAAAATGAATAGGAAGAGAGGGATCCCAGAACGATCCTTGTGGGCCACAGTACAAAGCTATATCTATCCCAATGTGTCTGTGGTTCTGTGCTTGTGATAAAACTTTTATAAACTTGTATTGCCCATGGCATCTTCACTAAGGCAGATTACTATGAAAAATGCCATAGAGACCTATTTAGTCAATGGTAGCCTGCTCAGCTCATTCCTCTCAGTACTAGTGCCTCTATCCTATGGGTTGTGGGCCAAAGATAGCAAGAGTCCCTTCCAGGGGTGCTATACAATGGGGCTTCAATATAAATACTCAAAATGGAGACTGTTAAGGAGCAATGAAAATTTAGCAATGTGGTTTAAGTAAGTAACAACACATATAATTGTGAGTTAAAATACTCAGTGTTATACTGACTTCAATACGGTTCTATAGAAGTAGAACCTGAGTAGAGACTATTTGTGAAAAGCATTCATAGAAGAAATGTTCTCACAATCCCACAAGAAAGTGAAGCAAGCAGGATAGAGAGGAGAAGTTAAGGAACTATATCATATCAGCTGGAATCTAGTCTCAGCTTATTCCATTGCAAGCTCTGAAGCCTAAATGACCCCACGGTTTTGAACTACATGGAGGTAAGGGGACTGAGTTGTTGTACAGTGTCATTCCATTATTGGCAGCAGGCTGCCCCAGGGAAGGACATATGCTCTCAGGCACTTCCTAGAGAAGTGGCTCCCAAAGGCAATTCTCTACAGAAGAAACAGTTATGAGGTGGCAGCCGAGAATGCACATTACAGCTGGGGCATTCAAAGAGATTATAGCTTAGCAGCATCTATGAGAGGCCATCTTTGCACCGCTAGAAGGAGTTGCTTCTCCAATGTTTATTTTATCAAGCACAGCCTCTCCATAATTCTGGTTGGTCACAATATGGGGAGAAATTTATAAGAAGAAGGCAGGTGAGACAAATTTCTGTAGTCTTGCTGTGGTCCTAAAACCACAACACACTGTTGTTTCTACCAGCTTTCTAATTTCCCCTCTTCCTTGGCTACCTGTTCCAGTGGTCTACATGGCTTTCAATGTGGAATACCAGACTCTCATCCCTGAGGGGCCTCAAGTCCTTGTTAGCATGTTCTTATCAAGCTTTAGCTACAGTAATTCCACACTTAAAGTTATATTTGGGCTTAGAAATATCAAGAGATGTCTCAGTGGATCACCTGACTGCAAAATGTATGCCTCCTTGCCAGCATTAAATGGCAGCAGAGCTACTTAAAGTGTTGTAACTCCTTTTTTTTTCTGCTCACCTTCTAGCCTAAAGTTCCCAGATGGTGGGCGTGGCATTGAGTCAAGTGAGACTCTTGCTATGTGTCTTGGTAGGGAAAGTCCCCATCTGGAACCTGAACTTCTGGGCCCACAAAGCCTACATATGGGGAAGAAGCAGAAAGCTCTAATACTTCAAGTGATAAGTGGAAGTGATGGTGGGAGTGGTCATTCTTATTCTCAAAACTTGCTTCTCATACTTTTTTTTTTACATCTTATGTACCTACCTCAATTTAAGATACACACTGCATCTCAAAAGATGTAGTACTTTCAGGGAGTGTCACCCCCAAGTTGATTCCTCAGCAGCATATTTTAAAGACAATTCCCGTACTCTTTCAGGGCAGCAACTTCTGAATGCTACTGTTTGCAGCAAACATAGTGAATTTCAAAGTCATGTGCCCTGGGATGCTCCTCCTTTGTCTTAAAGTTGCAAAGTGTGTCCCTTGACCCAAAGTAAAGTTATACAATACCCTGTGTCAGTAGGTCAGACACTTTATGAGTCCTCAAATAATGGTTAGGCACTGGGGACAAAAAAGAAAAGCACATATAGAGAATGTGTCAATATCTGTTTGGATAAGTTATCGTCCTTGTTAGAGAAGAAGGAGTTTAATGTAATCAACTTTCCACCAAAGGGCTGGCTGTTCTTCTAGAAAGATGGGACTATATCAGGGGCACGGTGTAGGTCTTATTTGCTGACAGACGGAACACTCATCAACAGCAGGAGCTAAATCACACTTGATGGCCGGGCGCAGTGGCTCATGTCTGTAATCCCAGCACTTTGGGAGGCCGAGGCGGGCAGATCACCTGAGGTCAGGAGTTCAAGACCAGTCTGGCCAACATGGTGGAACCCCGTCTCTACTAAAAATGCAAAAATTAGCTGGGTGTGGTGGTGGGCACCTGTAATTCCAGCTACTCAGGAGGCTGAGGTAGGAGAATTGCTTGAACCAAGGAGATGGAGGTTGCAGTGAGCCAAGATTGCACCACTGCACTCTAGCCTGGGTGACAGAGAGACACCCTGTCAGAAAAAAAAAAAAAAATCACACTTGATGAAAGGGGACTATGCTAGGATGCTTATCTCATGATTCATTGATCAAAGGTCACTGTGACAACTCCATTCAAAAGTCTATTGCATAAGCGTCCAGGTGGTCAAGAAAAGAGGTTTGCTAACTCAACTGTCTGAGTCATCCTATTCTTCTTATTCATTGTCTCTTTTGCAGTGGGTGCTCTCTGATAGGTACTAACATCTAATACGAGAGTCCCACACTTTGTGCCAACTTCTTTAGGACTCTTCGATGCCTCTTCCTACAGTCTTCTAATCTCAATTTTCTAATCTTCCTATACAGTGGCACTTTCTATATATGAAGCTAGTAGATTAGCATAGAGTGAAGGAGAGAGACAAAGAGAGTAGTTGAATTGTCCATTAGAAATAAGAGAGGAAAAGAGATGGCCAAGTCAATACAGAAAATAAACACCAACGTTTTTGTTTTAACTTTATGTACAACAGGAATATATGAAGGTGCTTGACGCTTCTGGGGGAATAGCATAGAAATGACTTAGTGAAAGATTACTCTGACACTGGTGTTGGATTAGAAGACAAGGAAGCCAGTTAGTAGAGAGCGGATGATAATGGTAGCAAATGCTACCATATCTGACATATAATGAAGTTTGTGAAAATGAAAAAATTATGAGTTTGATAGATCTTAAAAAGGTTGACTCTAGAATTTGGTGATAGATTAAGATGTAAACTTTAGTGGAGATGAGATTTTTAAAAGTTCAGGGAGTTTGGGCATTATCTGGTCTCTCAGGACAACAGGATAATTCTTTATTCAGCACGTTAAAAGAACCTAACAGAAAAATACAGATGGTGCTCACACCTGGTATTTAAAAGATCTTTCTTTCTAAAATTATCACACTATGTATATTCCGTAATAATATTCTTGATAATTGGTACAGTATTGTTGCATTAGTTTTTGAAATGTGTGTTTTTGCTTCAAATACACTGAACCACAGCTTCAGCTGCTTTAATTTTTTCTTCCCTTCTGGAAGCTAATAATGCTCCTGAAAAAGCAATTAAACTCAAAAATAAAGCTTCATTTTGAAGAATAAGCAGCTTGCAACCTGGTTTAACGCTGAGACGGCACTAATAACACAGCACTTATGATCTAAGGGAGAAAATGAAAAGTCTTATTATTTCCCCAAATGATGAAAAACCAGGGCCTAAAGACACAATATCACCATTTATTGCACTAGATAACGTGCATTTTTGTAAATGAAATGCTTACTTCTGAGCATTATATCCTCCACTTCAGTGATTTGGCTAAATAGTTAATTTGATCTCAAAACAAAAAGACCTCTAATGTCATTTCAAGACTCAGAAGCCAAGTAGAAAGGTGAGAGGAAAACAAAAATAAGCAGAGCCAATGAGGCAGCCTCTACTCGGAGGTACCTGATGGGGCATGAATACTCATTTGTTTGAACCCAGAGAAAATAATCTTTGTATTTTAAGATCAGTCTATTGTAAGAAAACCTTCTTTCTAATCCCAGCACTGCTTTCCACAAGGCGAAGGATTAGACAGGCAGGTTATTTCAGTAAAATAAAAGTAAGACTTGGCTTTTAAATGTGAGATTTAAACCTTGCTTTCTCTATTAGCCTTGAGAAATTGGACCCACTCTTGTAGTTGAAATCCTGAGTGGTTTTAGCACAGAAAAGAAAGCTTTTCACAGACAGCCCTTATGCTCCAGAAATGAGCACATCTGAATTCAATTTGACCCTTCATTGGGAAAATGCTATCTTAAAGAGAAAACTTTGTATTTAAAGTAAAAGCCATTTTAAACAAATGACTTAAAGTTAACAAAATGCCTAGTATTTCAAAACTTTCAGCACCACCACTGATGGTTGCAAGAAGTGGTCACTATGCTCACCTCTTCTGATGGTGGTCAGTAGGTCATTAGGATGAGGATTGTGTCTTCTGAAAGAAAGCCATGGATCTCTCATTAGCATAGACATCCTCATGCCATCCAACATACATTGATTTTGAGAGCAGAGCAAAGCATATAACACTTGTTTTCTTTCCAGAAATAGATTCAAGCTCGATGTTAACAGAGGAGAAGGAATCTATGCCTTATTCTACTATCAACCCCAGTTATTCCTCATTGATTGCTAGAAAATTTTGTTCGCAGCCCTTATTTTATTTCAGGTGCTTTCTAAATCCCCTCTCTTCTCTCTCTAAATGGTTTTAGGTAATTTTTTATCCAAATAATTTCAATTTCCTCAAAGAGCAAATTTTGTCAGTTTAACTTTTCTTGTAGTGAAGATCTGCTTTCAGCTTTTGTATGTATGAGAAAGTACAGTTGACTTAACAGCCCAAGCATTAGGGGTACCAACCCCTCCACCCCTGCAGTTGGAAATGCATGTATAAATTTTGATTCCCCCGACACCTAATGACTAATAGCCTACTGTTGACTGGAAACCTTATAAATAACATAAACAGTTGATTAACACATAGACTACTACCTACATATATTTTATGCATCCATTGCATACCTAGCTTTTTCTTAATTTTTTTCAATATTTCTAAGCTGCAAGGTTCATCTGTGATTTTTTTAAATTTATACTTTAAGTTCTGGGATACCTTTGCAAAATGTGCAGGTTTTTTACATAGGTATACACATTTCATGGTGGTTTGCTGTGCCCATCAACCCATCATCTACATTAGGTATTTCTCCTAATGCTATCCCTCCCCTAGTCCCTCCCACCCCAAACAGGCACCCCTCCCTATGTCCATGTGTTCTCATTGTTCAACTCCCACTTATGAGTGAGAACATGCAGTGTTTGGTTTTCTGTTCCTGTGATAGTTTGCTGAGAATGATGGTTTCCAGCTTCATCCATGTCCCTGCAAGGGACATGAGCTCATCCTTTTTTATGGCTGCATAGTATTCCATGGTGTGTATGTGCCACATTTTCTTTATCTATTCTATCATTGATGGGCATTTGGGTTGGTTCCAAGTCTTTGTCATTGTGAACAGTGCTGCAATAAACATAAGTGTGCATGTGTCTTTATAGTGGGATGATTTATAATCCTTGAGGTATATACCCAGTAATGGGATTGCTGGGTCAAATGGTATTTCTGGTTCTAGATCCTTGAGTAGTCTTCCACAATGATTGAACTAATTTACACTCCCACCAACAGTGTAAAAGCATCCTATTTCTTCACATCCTCTCCAGTATCTGTTGTTTCCTGACAAGAGATAAAGATCACCATTCTAACTGGTGTGAAATGGCATCTTGTTGTGGTTTTGATTTGCATTTCTCTAACGACCAGTGGTGATGAGGTTTTTTTTCATGTTTGGTGGCCACATAAATGTCTTCTTTTGAGAAGTGTCTGTTCATATTCTTCGCCCACTTTTTGATGGGGTTGTTTGGGTTTTTTTCTTGTAAATTTGTTTAAGTTCTATGTAGAGTCTGAATATTAGCCCTTTGTCAGATGGATAGATTGCAAAATTTCTCTCCCATTCTGTAGGCTGCCTGTTCATGCGGATGATGGGTTTTTCTTTTTTTTTTTTTTCTGTGCAGAAGCTCTTTAGTTTAGTTAGATCCCATTTGTCTATTTTGGCTTTTGTTGCCATTGCTTTTGGCGTTTTAGTCATGAAGTCTTTGCCCATGCCTATGTCCTGAATGGTATTGCCTATGTTTTCTTCTAGGGTTTTTATGGTTTTAGGTCTTACATTTAAGTCCTTAATCCATCTTGAGTTAATTTTTGTATCAGGTGTAAGGAAAGGATCCAGTTTCAACTTTCTGCATACATATGGCTAGCCAGTTTTCCCAGTACCATTTATTAAATAGGGAATCCTTTCCCCATTGCTTGTTTTTGTCAGGTTTGTCAAATATCAGATGGTTGTAGATGTGTGGCATTATTTCTGAGGCCTCTGTTCTGTTCCATTGGTCTATATATTCATTTTGGTACAAGTACCATGCTGTTTTGGTTACTGTAGCCTTGTGGTATAGTTTGAAGTCAGGTAGTATGATGCCTCTAGCTTTGTTCTTTTTGCTTAGGATTGTCTTGGCTATGAGGGCTCTTTTGTGGTTTCATATGAACTTTAAAGTAGTCTTTTCCAATTCTGTGAAGGCAGTCAATGGTAGCTTGATGGGGATAGCATTGAATTTATAAATTACTTTGGGCAGTATGACCATTTTCATATTGATTCTTCCTATCTATGAGTATGGAATGTTTTTTTCATTTGCTTGTGTCCTCTCTTATTTCCTTGAGAAGTGGTTTTTAGTTCTCCTTGAACATGTTATTCACAACCATTTTAAGTTGGATCCCTAGGTATTTTATTCTCTTTGTAATAATTTTGAATGGGAGTTCACTCATGATTTGGCTCTCTGTTTGTCTATTATTGGTGTACAGGAATGCTTGTGATTTTTGCACACTGATTTTGTATTCTGAGATTTTGCTGAAGTTGCTTATCAGCTTAAGGAGATTTTGGGCTGAGACAATGGGGTTTTCTAAATATACAATCATGTCATCTGCAAACAGAGACAATTCGACTTCCTCTCTTCCTATTTGGATACCTTTCTTTCTTTTTCTTGCCTGATTGCCCTTGTTTAAATGGTCACAAATCTCCAAAAAAGTTTCCAGTATATTTATTGAAAAAAATTCATGTACAGGGCACCCACACAGTTCAAATCTATTTTGTTCAGGATCGGCTGTACTTATCTCATCTACATTTTTGAAAGTAGCCACTTCTTACAAAGCTACTGGAAAGACTGAAAGAACAAAAGCATGAGAAGTAGGAATAGCTGAAGAAGAAAAAAAAGAAAAAAAAGAAGACAGACACTGTTAATTCAAATATCACAGATTTGCTACTGCCCCCAGACAGCAGTCTACAAGTTCTAGCCTTTCTTCCTTCTGTTCTACCCACTGCGTTCTGTTTTCTAGTCATCTAACATACTTTGCAGACTTCTAGTCCCATCGATACAGAAAGGAGTCTACAAAAGAGTAAATGTGAACCTGAGAGAAAAGTGTCCCCATCTGGCACAGATAAGGAACCTTTGTGGAGAGCTGCTTGGCAATAATAATGTTTTTAAAAAGTGCATGTTTGAATCTAAAAATTTATTTCTGAAATCTAAAGAAGAATAGTTCTGTGTGTGCTCAGACTTATGTATATGAATGGGCACTGCAAAATTTTTCTAACATTTTCCTATTATGAAATAGGAAAAACAGTCCACAAATGCCTGTTAGTAGGGTCATGATTAAATAAATTCTAGTCTATATCCAGAGTATGCAATTTTACACATAATGTACTACCTATATATAAACTGAGTAAAAAGGTCTTCAAATACATAGTAAATGAAAAATATCATAGAGATATTTTTCAATATTTACTATTATTGTTTTTCAATGTTTATTTACTACTTTCAATACTTATTTCAATAACTATGTTGCTCCACATTGGATAGAAGAACCCTCTCCAAAAAATTTTAATTATTTCATGTCCCTTTATTTCCAAATTGTAGGCAAATGAAGAAAACAAATGTGCCAAAGCTTTTTTGAAGTAGGCAGAGTAAATATCTTGTGATAATAAAATCCCAAATAGCCATACTTTCAAGCATTCTTTATTAGATTTGATTCCAATTCAGTCACATAGATGTCCTTCAGTTTTCATTAGCTTCATCTACGAATACTTTTGTATTCAGGAAAGACATGTCTATTTTGTTTTGTTTTGTTTCTTTTCAAACTCGGTGCCTGAATGTTGAATTTAGATAATAGACAATGTAACTGTTATAGTCATGGTTATTATCATTAATATGTAGAATTTATTGTACACTAAACTATGTTCTGGTAATAATAATTTGCATCATGGGATTACAGTGTGAATTCTCACATTGACCTTTTCATGTTGGTACACTATAATATCTATTACATAAAGGAAGAAAGTTGAAACTTGGAGGTGAAGTATCCTATGTTAGAATAAAACCCAGATAGCTTTACTCCAGGACCCACACATTAGCCACAGTCACAAAACTGTATTAGAATCAAAGTTTGTTTAAAGACATGGAGATTCTGGTCATCTTAGGTGTCATCATGCTCATGCCTATTACTGGATGCCACTGCCCGAAATGTTATGTAGACCAATCACCTTTTTGACTTCTTTGCCGGGATGACATTGTCATAGTTTTCCCCTCAGGTGACAATATTAGCCATTTTGTCACCAATGAGAAGCCAGCAATTGTTTTTTTAAAGCAGTGTCTTTTACAAGATATTACCCCAAGTGCCCTACTTCAATCTACCCTTAGATAATGAATGCTACCCTAAGCTTTTCAATCAAGTTTGAATTAAATATATGTGAAGGACTCTGTGGGCTGGGGGATTGTGTGGGGGTGTCCTCATTTCACATTCTTTGCTTTTTCTGGTAGATAAACCCAGATAACAACAGACCATGACTTCGGCTCTTAGTCATTTCCAAATCAATAGTTATCCAGAGAAATTCATTAGTTTCCAAAACAAACCAAAAAAAGAAAAAAAAAAAAAGCCAAGTGTCAAGTTGAACATGTTCATGCACTCAGGACAAAAGTAGAGCAGTAAATAAGACATAGAAAACCTAAAATAGGTTAATCCAGTACTGTTAAAGCATGAACATGCAGTTTCTGAGAGAGCCCCCCAGCCCCCAGTTAAACATACTATATTTACTAAGATAATTCCCCTATATCTGGGAACCCTGGTGGCTATTACTTCAAGGGGAGAGGTAGAAAGTTGGTAGACTTAACTCTTCTCAAGGGGAGAGGAAAAATAGGAAGAGAAGGTGACTTTTATCCATTGTTAAAAGGAGAGGGTTTTTTTTTCCTTTTTTTTTTTTTTAATTTCTTTGAGACAGAGTATCATTCTTGTTGCCCAGGCTGGAGTGCAATGGCGCAGTCTTGGCTCATTGCAGCATCAGCCTCCTGGGTTCAAGCGATTCTCCTGCCTCAGCCTCCCAAGTAGCTAGGATTACAGGAGTCCAGCACCACACCCGGTTAATTTTTATATTTTTAGTCGAAACAGGGTTTCACTATGTTGGCCAGACTAGTCTTGAACTCCTGACCTCAGATGATTTGCTCTCCTTGGCATCCCAAAGTGATGGGATTACAGGCATGAGCCACTGCACCCAGCCTATTTTTTCCTTTTTTAATTTGCATTTTTATTTGCATAGAGCAGAAGTCTGAACTGTGGCTACCATATGAGACTATGAGTGCTATCATTGCTATTGCTTTCAAGGTGCCTCTGACAGGATTCCTACTTCAAACTCTAAAAGAATCTGTTATTGCAAAAATTAAAAAAAAATTGTGTATATATGTGTGTGTGTGTGTGTGTGTGTGCGTTTTATATATATATATATAGACAGTGGTCTATGAAAAATAGGAGATTGATTGAGGACATTTAAGAGGTGGCAGGTAGGAAAACAATCTACTCATAGCTTAACCTGAAACCTCATTTATGTATAATGTGTCTTAATTAGGAAAGACGAAACAATTGAAAGGAAACTGCAAGAACACATTTTTACCAAGACTGGTGACCTTTTTAGCGTACTTGAAGAATAATTATTCTTATTGTTTTAGCAAACCAAATGGAACACACTTTTTCATATTGGGGCTTGCATTTAATCCCATCATTTAAGTGATTATTGCCTATTTGAAAATATGTGCATGAGCATCACCATTACCAAATCACCTTTTTCCCCCTCATTTCCTTATTGAGCTTATGAATACAATTGTTTCAACATCTTTACAAAATAAATATGCCTACAAGAGTTTTAAACTTGTGGTTTATTAAAATATAACACTTGTGTGTTGTAGAGGCCAAATTTCCAATGTTAAGGTTCTTGTTCAGCAATTTTTCTCCTGACAGATAATCAGCTTTTCTTACAAAATATTTCATGACATTACTTAAATGTATAATTCTGGTTTGATTGATCGATTGATTGGTTGATTGAGACAGAGTCTCGCTCTGTTGCCCAGGCTGGAGTACAGTGGCGTGATCTCTGCTCACTGCAGCCTCTGCCTCCCGGGTTCAAGTGATTCTCCTGCCTCAGCTTCCCAAGTAGCTGGGAATACAGGAGCCCACCACCATGCCTGGTTAACTTTGGATTTTTCATAGGGATGGGGTTTCACCATGTTGGCCAGGCTGGTCTCGAACTCCTGACCTCAGGTGATCCGCCTGCCTCGGCCTCCCAAAATGCTGGGATTACAGGTGTGAGCCACCTCGCCCGGCCTTAAATGTATAATTCTACAGTTTCTAGACAAAGAGGAGATTCATTTACTAATCTTTGAAAATAGTTTTTTAAAGCAAAATAAACTAACTGAACTTCCTAATTTAATGCATTGCATTTAGTGTTAGGCTGATTCCAAAATGAAAAAAGACAAAACTTGTATTTTCAGGTTTATATGAGCAAACACTTAAAGCAACATTGGGCGTTTTTCTTCTCTATTTGGATAGATAATTTAAGCATAATTTAGGTTTCTGAATTCATAATGGCATGAGAAAGCATTTGAATAAATGACTTTCCTTCACTGGAAATAGTAGAAAATACCACAAAATAAAGAGAATCTGAAGTCAACATGTGACTACGTTATGTGTAGGCAATTTATAACCAGTACAGTGGGGAAGAAATTGATATTTTCATTTAACAGATGATATTTCAACCATTCTAGATGGCACATTATTTGTTAAAGAGAAAAAAAGAAAAACACTGTAAATTGACTTACATTACAGATTATGCCTGTCTATATTTGCCATCTATATTGCCTGACTTAAATTGACATATGTCTTCTTTCATCTGTGAAAGGACTTATTACCTTGTCTTTTCTAGGCTCACTCTTTGAATTTTATTTATAGATAGTGAGCAGAATTTATGGAAGAGGCTTATAAGTAAAAAAATGCAATTATTTTGAGAGCTGTATCTGTTATCAAGTTGGTGCTAGAGATAGGATTTATAAAGTTCCTGATTCTTTCCAATGACTTTCAAGTAAACATTGAGATGTCCGTAATTAATCACCACAATGTTATTTACTCTGTCAGTCAGCATTTAAAAACTAGCCATAGGACACATATTATGTGGGGAAAGAATGTGTTAATTTTATTTAAAATGGGGAATGCCTGGTATGGGAAATGCTTTTCATGATCTTACAATGAATCAGCCTAGGCATGACTTTAGGATTATGGGGAGCTAGCAATAAAGAAATGGTTTTGCTATCTCTAAGTTTCCCAAGCCTCTACAAAATATAGTTTTTTTAAAAAAAAAAGAAAATTATATGCAATTATACACTTAGAGTCTGTTTTTAGTTTGTTTATTGTAAGCTTCATTAGCAAAGATTTCTGGGAAAGATCTATGTCTGGTAATTATATATGGAAATCCTGAAATATGAGAGACTTCACAGTGTGTAGTACTTTCTTAGTGATTTTTTACTCAGCTTGGAGAAACAGAAGTGGAGAAAGGAAAAACAATGTCATGTTCCTACCATTCATTTTGATGTTATGAAACTCCCCAGTAGGGAGCCACTATTTTTATCTAATCTAATACAATATTCTAAGTGTTTACTTAATGATTGGTAACTCAATAATTTGGTAACTCAATAATTTTTACTTCAATATCTTTCTAAATTTTATATTCTAAGAATTCTAAAATGTCTTGTTTATCTGAGTGTTGCTATTTAAAAGAAATGTGGAAAGATTAGACAAGAAGGCCTTGGCCTTACATTGTACGAGACCAGTGCAGAAAACATTCCTATATTCTACACGTCTCTTGTCAAGACTTCAACAATTCATGAGACAATTCTACTATGAGTGAATTTCACTGCAATATGTGCCATTTTTTCCCATTTGGGTGGTTGACACCTAATATAAATAACTACTTTTTAGTTCGTAAGTTTTCAGCAAAATAAATTATGTAAAGGAATCTGAGCATAAATTATTATTTTTCTATAAGATTTTGAAAAGCAAGTTGATTTTAGAAGTAGATATATTAATGTCCTCATAAATCAATGCTAAAAAACCTAATTGATTTTACATTATCAGGAGAAAAATATACCACCATGACCTAAAGGCAAGCCCATTATTAGCTCAGATATAGCACTTGACATTTAAAGGTGATTTATCCTAATTCAGCCACATCATATTCAGTTAACTTTTTAAAAGTTAGCTCAAATCTGGACTCTAATATATGTTCAGTATATAGTATGAAGAAGGTTTAAAATAAAGCCTTCTGAGAAATATTTAGTGCATATTAGCAGTAATAACTCCTTAGTAACATCAAAGAGTGAGGATGAAGTGAAAGAAAAAGGCAGGACAAGAAAATAATTTAATTTACATTTTATACTTTTCATGATATACCAAATATATACATGAAAATACTTTTATATATGTCTTTTTAAAAGAAAATGTTTATATTATTGTATATATTTGAAATGTTTTAGAATGATAGCCAGAAGGTTACAACTACATGCAATGTTTTTTCTTCAGAACATCAAGACTGAGTAAATTTTAAACGCATAATTGTATTTCATCATTCAAATATGAAGGTTGAATAGTGAAAATAGTTGTCTATATCTGTAACTTTATCCACATTAATAGTTCTTTCTGTTTACTTTCTGTAATCTCTCAAATTTTCAATTTCTATTTAAATTTCTTTCAGAAAAACTTTTCATAATTACTCCCCAAAATATCTGCCAACTCTAACCTGATATCTTCAATTTTACCCGATGACTAAGAACTATAGGAAGAGAGAGATTTCTCATTCTCAGATCTATTTTGTGAGTATCCTCCATCCTTCTTTTTTTTCAAAAGTAGAAGCAGTGTTCTAACATCTTTGTTATGTCATACAAAGCTGGGCATATTCTGAATGTTTGTTGTTAGTGTTTTTTTCATTTAGACCCATGTGTTTGTTTGTTTGTTTTTTTCTTCAACTTTTGTTCTAAGTTCAAGGGTACATGTGCAGAATCTGCAGGTTTGTTACATAGGTGGTGTGCCACAATGCCTTGCTGCACAGATCATCCCATCACCTAAGTATTAAGCCAGCATCCATTAGCTATTTTTCCTGATGCTCTCCCTCCCCGCATCCAACCCAACAGGCCTCCGTGTGTGTTGTTCCCCGCTATGTGTTCTCATCATTCAGCTCCCACTTATAAGTGAGAATATGCAGTGTTTGGTTTTCTGTTCGTGTGTTAGTTTGCTGAGGATAACAGCTTCCAATTCCATCCATGTCCCTGCAAAGGATATGATCTTGTTCCTTTTTATGGCTGCACAGTATTCCATGGTGTATACATAGCAAATTTTCTTTATCCAATCTATACTGATGGGCATTTGGATTGATTCTATCAGACCTACCTGTTTTTATAGAGATTATCTTTTGAATAGAATGGAGTCCTTGTTTTAGGGTCGTGCAGAATGTCCTTGTTCTGGTTGCTTTTACATACTTTTAAATAGCCCCGATGAATGTGTGTGTGTGTGTGTGTGTGTGTGTGTGTGTTTATGGGTGTGTGTGTGTTGACAGGAATTTTGAGGTTAAAATTTTAATTAAAACAAGTCCAGGTGTATAACTACTCAATTACAAAATAGAAAAATAGAAAAAATGAAACAAAAAACCCACAAAGGAAACCAAATAAATATATCTTTCGATCATTTTACTTTGTTTCCTCACAGCACTCGTAACACTAATTTCATGACACTAAGATCTCCACATGGCCAATCCAGGGGACCTTTCTCTTATTCTCTGTTCTTAGCCTTTTGAGAGCACTGGCATACTGCACCTCTCCTTTCCACATTAAAGTCTTTCTTTCTCCTTTCCCAGCAACTCCCATCTCGGGTTTCTGGCCATAACCTCCACTTCTGTTAATCTTCAAATATTCCAATCTGGAGAGCTTGTTCTGGAGTGGGGTAGAAGCCTCCACAGCCAAAATTGAATGGCGAGTGTGGAAAGCATCCCAGCAGTGGGCACTGAAATTGTGCTCTCCCCTGTCACAGATGTCCACTGAGAATACAGTTGTGGCAGACACAGTTTCTTCTGGATAATGAGACTTGCAACTTTGGCAACCTATAAGCGGTCTGTCTGTGCCATTGCTGGGTGCCTGCTTTTCTGAGCTTGTGGTGAAGTGGAGCCCTCTACACTCCAACTCCAGGCACATCTCTAGGCATTCAGAATACCTGCCCACCCAGATTAGCAGCCTGAGCCACCCCACTCATCCTGAGAAAAGACCTTGGTGGTGTCCTCTTTGCTTCCCGTACAGACATATCTCCAGGCATTCAGAGCGCCTTTTTGCCCAGATTAGCAATCTCAGCCTCTCTATTCTTCAGGTGCAGAGAACATGGTACAGCAGGGCTCTCTCTGGCCCCCCACTTCCAGGCAGACCTTCGGGCACTTGGAGGAATCCAGGCATTCTCCTGGATTAGGAGTTTAGGCCACTCCCCTTCACCCACTCTCCATGCAGAGAACTTGGGGCAGAGGAAGTTTCCTAGCTCCATGCCTAGGCACACCTCTGGATGCTTGGTAGCTGCCCTCAGGACCACCCCCCTTGCTGCTGTTGCTTGTTCCTGCAACAGTCCAGCCCCACCCTTCCTGGTATCCTCCTCCAGGGCTGAGCAAGGAGCTCAGACCACTGTGCACTCTAAGGATCAATGCGCTGACCGAGGCAACAGAGAGCTTCTCTCAGTAAACAAGGATCAAGTATCTCCCCAGCCATGTTGGCTATAGCTGGCTCTTACCCATAAGAGCCTCCTACTGGCCCAGAGGTTGAGGACACAACACAATAAAACATCTGCTGACACAAGCACACAGCATGGGGGAATGGGACAAGCTTCCTGAGCCTGATGCCATTCCAGCCCCACAGGAGCCAGTGAGCCTGTGGAAACCCAGTACATCGCTACTGCAACCAGCATTTGGATAAGCCACTATACAAAGACTACCTATAACCAAGGAATTTATACAGACTCCTTGCCACTAAAAATACCTAGAATCAGAGATCTAACCCTCAACATGGTCTGTCGCTAAGAGAGAGGGGAGTGTAGGTCACCAAAGACCCCCTTGGGTCAAAGGAAACATGGAGGCATTACCAGCTGCTGAAGATGACACCACCATAGGCCAAGAATAGACATGGAAAGGGTGGTCATCTCTCAACCCCTGGTTCCCCGCATGAGTGCACTATTGTGGACTTGGCAGTAGCTCTTTCCTTCAGGGCTTGGGGAGCGTGGGCTGAAAGAGACCACTTCTCAGGCTTCTATAGTGGCTCCACCCCACTGAAGGCAAATGCACTGGGGGAGGGTGCTTTTCATGCTTTTCTGTTACCTCCACTCCTGCCCCACCTGCTAACTTTTACTCTTTTGTGCCAATTATTGGACTGCAGCTTGAACTATACCACCAAACGAAATTGCATCACTACAACAACAGTGTTTGAGAAAGCCACACCAAGGAAACCCATACAGAGCCTTGCCACCCTAAAAGCACTCAGAAGCAAAGTTAGTCAATCATAGACAATATAAATCACAGTCATTTCCACCTTGGAAAAAAAATTAAAAAATCAAGGAGCCCCATCCAACCAATAGAAAAAAAAACAAACAACAACAACAACAAAAACACCAGCTCTCTCAGATGAGAAGAACTCTGAAACTACAAACACCCAGGGTGTTTTGTCACCTCCAAAGGATCCTGTCAGCTTCCAAGCAATGAATCCTAACCAGAATGAAATATCTGATATGACAGACATAGAATTCAGAATATGGATGCAAAGAAACTCAATGAGATCCAAGAGAAAGTTGAAATCAGCACAAAGTAAACAGCAAAACGATCCACATTTTAAAAGATGACGTATCTATATTTTAAAAGAGCCAATCAGAACATAAGGAGTTAAAAAACTTACTACAGGTATTTCAAAATACAGTTAGATGCCTTAACAACAGACTAAACCAAGAAGAAGAAAGAATTTCAGAGGTCAAAGTCCTTTGAATCAGCCACATTAGAAAATAACAAAGAAAAAAGAATAGCAAATAAATAAAGCCTTTAAGAAATATGGGAGCATATAAAGTGACCAAATATATGATTTATTGGCATTGCTGAGAGATAAGAAGAGAAAGTAATCAACTTGGAAAACATATTTGAGGATATAATTCAGAAAAATTTCTACAATATTGCTAGACAGGTCAACATACAGATGGAGCAAATCCAGGGCATGCCTATGAGATACTCTACAAGGTTATCATTCCTAAGGCACATAGTCATCAGACTATACAAGGTCAAACCAAAAGAAAAGAAAATCTTAAAGGCAGCTATAGAAATGGTCATATTACCTATAAAGAGAAACCCATCAGACTAACAGTGGAGGTCTCAGAAGAAACCTTACAATCCAGAAGAGATTGGGGGCCCATTTTTAGCATTGTTTTTTAAAAAGTAATGCCAGGGAATAATTTAATTTCCTGACAAATTAAGCCTCATAAACTAAGAAGAAATAATCTTTCTCAGGGAAGCAATGACTAAAGGAATTTATCACAACCAGACCAGCCCTACAAGAGATGCTTAAGGAGGTTCTAAACATGGAAACAAAAGAACAATGCTCGATATCACAAAAGCACACACAAGCACATAACCCACAGACCCTATAAAGCAACTACACAATTGAGACTACAAACCAAGTAGTTAACAACACTATATGACAGGAATTAAACCTCACATGTCAATATTAAACTTAAATGTAAATGGCCTAAATGTTCTTTTTTAAAGCCATAGAGTAGAAAATTGGATAAAAGTAAATAAGATCCACCCTTCTGATGTCTACAAGAGATGCATCTCACATGCAACAGCACCCACTGACTCAAAGTAAGGGGGTGGAGAAAAATATATCATGAAAATAGAAAACGGAAAAAGCAGGGGTCATTATTCTTTCATTAGATTCAATACACTTTAAACCAACAACAGTAAAAAAAGGACAATGAAGAGTATTACATAATAATAAAGAGTTCAATTGAACAAGAAGCTTTAACTATTTTAAATATATACACAACCAACATTAGAGAACCCAGATTTATAAAACAATTACTTCTAGACCTAAGAAAATGCTTTGGCAGCCACACAATAATAGTGAGAGACTTGAAAACCCCAATTATGGCATTATACAGATCAACAAGGCAGAAAGCCAGCAAAGAAATTCTGGACTTAAGTTCAACACTTGACCAATTGGACTTAATATACGTCTACAGAATATTCCACCCAACAATCACAGAATATACATTTTTCTCATATGCACACAAAACCTGCTCTAAGATTGACCACATTCTTGGCTATAAAGCAAGTCTCAATAAATTTTTTAAAAATGAAAGCCTACCAACTATCTTTTCAGACCACAATGGAATAAAAATAGAAATATCAAGAGGAACTCTTAAAACCACACAAATACATGAAAATTAGACAACTTGCTCCTCAGTGACTTTTGGGTACAAAATAAAATTAAGGCAGAAATCAAAATATTCTTGGAAATAAACAAAAACAGAGTCAGAAAATACCAAAATTTCTGGGATACAGCAAAAGCAGTGGCAAGAGAAAAGTTTATAGCACTGAATGCCTATAAGAAGATAGATCTCAAATTAACAACCTAATCTCATACTTAAAGGAACTAAGAAAAACAAAAACAAATGAGCTAGTAGAAGAAAAGAAATAACTAAAATAAGAGCAGAACTAAATAAAGAACTATACAAAGGGTCAATGAAATTAAAAGTTTGTTCTTTGAAAGCATAAACAAGATTGATAGACCTCTAGCTACATTAATAAAAAAGAGAGAAGATCTAAATAAGCTCAATCAGAAATGCCAAAGGTAACATCACAAACAATCCCACAGATATACAAGGGATCCTCCAAGACTGCTATGAACATCTCTATGCACACACATTAGAAAATCTAGTGAAAATAGATAAATTGCTGGAAACACAGCCTCCCAAGATTGAATCAGAAAGAAAAACAGTAACAGGTAACAAAATTCAATCAGTAATACAAAAAAATCTAACAACCAAAACAGGCCTTGGACCAGCCAAATTCTAACAGACATACAAAGAAGAGATGGTACCAATTCTACTGAAACTATTACAAAAAAAAAAAAAAAATCAAGGAAGAAAGACTCCTCTCTAACTCAATCTGTGAAACCAATATCATTCTGATACAAAAATCGGGCAAAGACAAAGCAACAACAACAACAACAAAAAACTATAGGCCAATATATCTAATGAACATAGATACAAAAATCTTCAACAAAATACTAGCAAACCAAATCTAGCAGCACATCAAAAATTTAATTTAACATGATCAACTCGGACTTTATTCCTGGGATGCAATAATAGTTCAACAAACACAAATCTATAAATGTAATTCACCACATAAACAGAATTAAAAACCAAAACAATATGGTCATCTCAATAGATGCAGAAAAAACATTTGATAAAGTCCAATATCCCTTTTTAATGAAACCCTTCGACAAACTAGGCATCGAAGAAATATACCTCAAAATAATAAGCCATCTGTGACAAACTCATAGCCAATGTCATACCGAATGGGCAAAAGCTAGAAGCATTCCTTTTTAAGAACTGGAACAAGACAAGGACGTCTTATCTCACCACTCTTATTCAGCATAGTACTAGAAATCCTAGCCAGAGAAATCAGGCAAGAGAAAGAAATGAAAGAAATAAAAATAGGAAAAAAAAGTCAAATTATCTGTCTTTGTTGATGATATAATTGTACACCTAGAAAATCTTAAAGATTTTGCCAAAAGGCTCCTATACCTACTAAACCACTTCAGTAAGGTCTCAAGGATACAAAATCAACATATAAAATTAGTGACATTTTTATGCACCAATTAAGTTCAAGTTGAGAACCAAATCAAGAATGCAATCCCGTTTATAATAGCCACATACACCTAACCAAAGAGGCGAAAGATCTCTTTGAGAATTAAGAAACACTGCTGAAACAAATCAGACATTACACAAACAAATGGAATGGCATTCTATGCTCAAGGGTTGGAAGAATCAATATCGTTAAAATTTCTAACTGCCCAAAGCAATCTACAGATTCAATGCTATTCCTGTCAAACTACCAATGTCATTTTTCACAGAATTAGAAAAAAAAACTATTCTAAAATTCATATAAAACCAAAAAAGAGCCTAAATAGCCAAGGCAATACTAAGCCAAAAGAACAAACCTGGAGGCATCACATTACCTGACTTTAAACTATGCTACATGGTTACCATAACCAAAAACAGCATGGTACTCTACAAAAATGGCCACGTAGACCAATGAGACAGAATAGAGACCCCTGAAATAAATCCACATACCTACAACCAACTCATATTTGACAAAGTTGACAAAAATAAGCAATAGGGAAAGGACACCTTAGTCAATAAATGGTGCTGGGAAAACTGGCTAACCATACGCAGGAGAATGAGACTGGATGCTTATCTCTCACCATATACAAAAATTAACTCAAGATGCATTAAATATTTACATTTAAGACCTCAAACTATAAAAATTCTAAAAGAAAACCTAGGAAATACTCTGAGACATTGACCTAGGCAAATAATTTGGTTTGAAGACCCTAATAGCAAATGCAAAAAAATTTTAAAAATACACAATTTGAACTTAATTAATCTAAAGAACATCTGCACAGCAAAAGAAATTTTCAATAGAGGAAATAGACAACCTACAGAATGGGAGAAAATATTCAAATACTATACATCTGACAAAGGACTAATACCCAGAATCATAAAGGACTTAAATGAATCAACGAGAAAAAAAATCCCATTTAAAAGTGGGCAAAGGACATGAACAAGCACTTATCAAAAGAACACACACAAGTGGCCAATAAACATATGAAAAAATGCTCAACATCACCATCAGAGAGATGCAAATCAAAACCACAATGAGATACCATCTCACACTAGTCAAAATGGCTATTATTAAAACATAAAAAAAAAACAGATGTTGACAAGTTTGTGAGAAAAAGGGACATTTTATACACTTTTGGTGGGAATTCAACTTAGTTCAGCCCCTGTGGAAGGCAGTTTTTAGACTTCTCAAAGAACTAACAATGTAGCTACCATTTAGCCCAGCAACCTAATTAGTGAGTATAAACTGGGTAACAAAGGAATTAATGGGTAACAAAGGAATGTAAGTTATTCTACCAAAAACGCACATGCACTCATATGTTCATCAGTGTACTATTCACAATAGCAAAGATATGGATTCAACTGTGGTGCTCATCAACAGTGAGGTGGATAAACAAAACAAGGTACATATACGTCATGTGTATGTACTATGCAGCCATAAAAGGAATGAAATCATGTCCTTTACACCAAATGGATACAGCTGGAGGCTGTTATCCTAGGCAAATTAACACAAAAAAAATCCCCAGAAAACCAAATATCACATGTTCTCACTTGTAAGTGGGAGCTTAATCTTGGATTTAAAAGGACATGAAGATGGGAACAAAAGACACTGGAAACTCCAAAAGGAGGGAGGGAGGCGTCAAGGGCAAGGGCTGAAAACTTCCAATCAAGCACTATGTTCACTCTCTGGGAGATAGGATCAATAGAAGCCCAAACCTCAGCACCATGCAATATACCCTTCTAACAAATCTGCACCTGCCCCTGAATTTAAAATAAAAACGAAAATCAAAAAAACAAATATTTAAATCCAAATGGACTGGATTAACTAACACGCTGTCCTTATTCAATAAACCCAAAGATTAAATTGCATCTATAAACTCATCAACCAAATTTCTATCTTTGGTTCAGATTTTTCCCCAAGGTCCAGAATCATATACCCAACCATCATCTTAACCATCACCCTTGCATCTTAAAGGCATTTCAGACTTATCATTCCCAAAACAGAAATTTTTATTTTCTCTTTATCCAAGTTTTTAGTACCCTAGTTAATGGCACCACTGTACACACAGTTTAATTCATTCTCTATGCAAAACTGTGGTGAGCTTTAAATGCCATTAGATGGAATTTAGGACAAATTTCAATTCCATATCCTTGTTCCCAAATGCTTTATTATTCTCTCATTCAGTCACCTCAGCCAGATTACTTTCTGATTTTCATGCCAAGTTATTTTTTTAAGCATTTAACTTACTCTTTGCTGTACTATGCCATTCTTCAGACCTCACCATATCACTGATTTATTCTTAATTTGAAGTCTTTGCTGAATATATTTTCCTCAATGAGAAATTCTGTGATTATCCTTCCTCTAGCACATCATCTTAGATATTTTCTGTTTAACATACCAAACGTTTGGTAATCCTCATATCAATTTTTTATTTGTCTATTTGTTTATTTCATTGCTGCACTAGCATTTAAGGTCTATGAAGACAGAAACGTTGACTTTATTTATGAATCCCCAATATCTAGCACAATGCTCAGAACATATTTTATGCCAATAAATATTGTTTAATGAATGGATAAGTGAGTAAATATAGATTGAGGTAAGCAATATCGGTCACTTAACCTATCAAAATAATTGAAAACCTATTATGCTAATTACTAGAAACGAATGTGACACACTACCTTGAGAACTTCATATAAACGTACTTAAATAAATTAATAACATCCAAAATAAATACAATAAAATAAAATTACATATTCATATTAAAAAATTATTTTTAAGTAACTCTCATACTACTTATATAATACACTTTATATATGTATACTTATATATGCTTTATATATACTTTATATAGTTTCCACTTTTTAAATATACATTTTTGTATTTATATACACTACGTGTGTGTATAAAGTGCATATAAAGTGGAAACTATATAAAATGGAAAAGTTATGTTTATAAAGTTTATATATTATATTTGAATATAATCTTTATATATGTAAAACATGTTTATTAAGTGTAATACACTTTATATATGTAACGTGTAATATAAAGTGTATTAATGAGTAGTATGAGAGAGAGTAACTTAAAAATAATTATTATCCCCTGGAGGACCAGAGGCCAATTACTTATAAAGGATGTGGTAATACTGAATAAAAAGGCATTTTAATCAACACCATGTCCTTAGCCTGTGTTGACACAATGACTAAAGGACTTCAGCTCACATTGTATGACTACCTTTTCCAGGAAGGTGGATTCTCTAATCTTGAATAAAACCATGCAGCTTTCGGCCTGACGCGGTGGCTCACGCTTGTAGCCCCAGCACTTTGGTAGGCCGAGGCGGGTAGATCACGAGGGCAGGAGATGGAGACCATCCTGGCTAACACAGTGAAACCCTGTCTCTACTGAAAATACAAAAAATTAGCCAGGCGTAATGGCGGGCGCCTGTAGTCCCAACTGCTCGGGAGACTGAGGGAAGAGAATGGCGTGAACCTGGGAGGCGGAGCTTGCAGTGAGCCGAGATCACGCCACTGCCCTCCAGCCTGGGCGACAGAGCAAGACTCCGTCTCCAAAAAAAAAAAAAAAAAAAGAAAGAAAAGAAAACCATACAGCTTTTACGAATAAAATCTTGGTGTAATGGCAAGAGCACTGTCTGTCTGGACCTCATATTGGAGACCTTGAATTCAAGTTCAAATTATTGTTATTATTATTATTATTTTGAGATGAAGTTTTACTCTGTTGCCCAGGCTGGAGTGCAGTGGTGCAATCTCAGCTCACTGCAACCTCTTCCTCCGTAGGTTCAAGGGATTCTCCTGCTTTGGCCTCCCAAATAGCTGCAATTACAGGCGCACGCAACCATGTCTGGCTAATTTTTGTATTTTTAGCTGAGGTAGGGTTTCGCCATGCTGATCAGGCTTGTTTTGAACTCCTGACCCCAAGTGATCCACCTACCTCGGCTTTCCAAAGTGTTGGGATTACAGGCGTTAGCCACAGCTCCCAGCCCTTTTTTTTTTTTTTTTTTTGGGGGGACGGAGTCTCTCTCTGTCACCCAGGCTGGAGTGCAGTGGCGCAATCTCTGCGCACTGTAACCTCTGCCTCCCGGGTTCAAGCAATTCTCCTGCCTCAGCCACCTGAGTAGCTGGGATTACAGGCGTGCACCACCATACTTGGCTAATTTTTGTGTTTTTTTTACTAGAGATGGGGTTTCACCATGTTGGCCAGGCTGGTCTCCAACCCCTGATCTCAAGTGATCCGCCCGCTTCAGCCTCCCAAAGTAGTGAGATTACAGGCATAAGCGACTGTGCCCGGCCTTCAAATTACTTACCTGGTGTTGGCATGAGTGAGTTACCATGTCACGATATTTTATCTGTTAAATGAAAAATGTATAAAGTGTTCAATAAATGTAATAATGCTGTCAATGCCATAGAATTATCTTATTAATATTCAGAACCATTCTCTCTACCAGGCACTGAGATAAAGTCTTTATAGACAAACCTGCAATATATTCTGTCTGTTATGGCCATTGCATGATTATTGTCACCAGTCTCAAAACACAGGCTTCTCATGTGTGAAAGGATGTGGTCAGGAGATGATATAAAATTTAAAGATCCCCCATTACCTGTCAATGGTATTGACACCTATTATTTTGTAGCCAAATTTACTCTAACTTTTAGGTCATATGCATATAAAGTGTCATTATTTGGTAAAAAGAAAAGATTTTGTTGTCGACGTTGTTATGACAATAAAACATATCCCAGTGTATTTCAGCCAAATAAATGTCTTCCCATTGTTTCTGTAGAGTCAGTAACAGAATGTCTAAAAGAAGAGCAAAATAGATCCTCCCTCTTCTGAAATGAAATGAGATGACACTGAGAAATTTGTATCAAGGCACTTGAGGAGCCACAAAAGCTGGTTGATAGGTAGACTTACTGCACTATTGAAAACATTTTCTTTTAAAGTCCATCTGAGCACAAAATATGACTGCATTTTGCTATTTTAATATAAATATCTCTGTTCACTAATGAGGTTAAGTGCCTTTCTACATGGTTACTGCCACTGACACTTTTTTGTGATTTGCTTTGTGTATGTTGGCCTTTTATTTTGTGGTGGGTTTTCTGTCTGTTTCTTTCTGATGGAAGGAAGATATATTTAAATGTTGGGTATCGATATTTTGTTTCTTATGTATTGCTTGCCTTATGTATTGTATTGCTTGTGTTTTAACATAATTTACATTGTTCAGTAACACAGATTGGTTTATCTGCTTTTGTAAAAATTATATTTATGATAAAAGGATACAACTCAGGAACAGTAAGATGGAAGAGATGCATAAGGCAAGGTAGAGGGAAGAGGAACAGAACTTCCATGGCTTCTCCATGTTTACGAAACTCCCAGCCCCCCTACAATTTGCCCAACCTAGCAACTCTCCAAATCCCACCCTTTTGGGTTTCTGTAGAGGTTATATTACGTAGGCATGACTGATAAATCATTGGCCATTGGTGACCAACTCTACCTTTTAGCCCCTCTCCCCTCCCTGGAGATCAGGGGATAGGGCTAAAGTTTCAATCCTCTAATCACAAGGTTGGTCCCTCTGGAAACCTGCCTCCCTCCTAAGGTTATCCAGAAGCTCTCAGCCATCAGTATCTTCGAGTACAATAAGATCTTTATCACTTAGAAGATTCTATAAATTTTGGGAGCCATGTGCCAGAAAATGTGCATAAAGACCACATATGTATTTATTATGACACAGTCCAATCCTGGTTTCTGGCCACAGATCCCTTACAGGAAAATGGTCATAAACATCATAAGAAGTCCCATTTAGCTATTAGTAATTTAGTAATTAGTCCAGTCCATCAACATGTCATATAAAATATCTCCAGGGTGAGGCTACCCAAGTTTGCAGGTTTCTATTAGAAATGTTGTAATGTTTTGCTAAGGCCTGAATGTATATATCCCTGCAAAATTCCTATATTGAAATCTAATCACCAATGAAATTATACTGAGGGTAGAACTTTAGGAGGTGATTAGGTCATGAGGGTGAAGCCCTCACGAATATGATTAGTGTCTTCATAAGTTAGGCCTGAAGGAGGCTGTTTGCCCCTTCCCCAGTGTGAGGGTGCAGTGGGAAGGTACCATCTATGAAGCAAAGAGCAAGTCCTCACCAGACTCCAAATCTGCTGGCACCCTGATTGTAGATTTCCCAGCTTCCAGAACTGTGAGAAATAAATTCCTTTTTATAAATCACCCAGTTTAAGATGGTTTGTTATAGCAGCCTAAACAAACTAAAACCCATTCTAAAGCCAAAAGCAGGAGTCATCTCAGCAAACTTACAGTTCACTCTTTCAGGCATCTAGTATAATTGAACTCAAAGATAACATCATCTTTTGCTCTGAGTCTCTTTAGAGTTATTAATGTAATATTGGATTTCCCTCATTACATAACCCATTTATTTATTCTTTTATCCTCAGCTACTATTTCTTCTATCTTTTTTTAGACCCCAAATTGTCCACCATTGGAAGGGACATTACATTCAGGAGTGTACAGGGAGTCTAAATTGCAGGTAGTAATATTAGTCTAGCAAGTACCTCCCTCTCATTCCATTCTTATTCAAATAGTGTAAAGTTACACAGGTGAAGAACTAGTGGGCTATTTAGCCAAATTTACTGTTGAAAATTGCACTTAATTTTTTGCTTAGAAATCATACCTGCTTCCAACACTTGTAATTGCAGTCCTGAGACTACCACATCAAATGGGAAAAAAAAATACTTTTAGGGGATGTGGATAAGAAAGAAAAAAAATATAGTCATTAAACCAGTGTCCTCCCTCCCTGGCAAAAATTGCATAGTCATACCAGCATCCTTTTTCACCCTCTCTTCCCTATATCTACCAGGAAAAGAGAGGAATTTATCTAGCAAGAACACTCCCTTCAGCCAACACCTGTTGAGTGTGAGAACACACTCATGAAGGTGTGTAAGTGAGCCCTTCATGCTTATATCTCTTCTGGTTTTAGATAACCAATGTTATATTTGTTCATTCAATTTTCTGTCAAACTATTACCTTGAGGAAAATTTCTCTCTGCTCATTGTTGAATATTATGGGCTATCAAGTGTACTCCTTGCTCTGAAGGTATAACAGTCAGGCATCTTCTATTCTGCTGAGCACTCTGAGCATTAGGATCTACTGCTAAGTAAGCAAAATCCAGTGCAGAGTCAGTGTTTATTTCTATGAAGACCCATTTGTAGCCCTACAAGGCTATTAGCATCAGTCTCACTTGCCAGCTATGTTCAAGGCCTTTCCAGGGAATCTTCCACATAGTCATTTTCAGTCCCTGTCTCTGCTGCTGGCAGACAGAACAGTTCTTATTGGCATTTTTTTGCTTTGGAGGTTCATGAGGAACATGTCTAGAGCCAGCACTCCTCGGCATTGCTGCAGTGCCACATGCCTACTCACTCACATACCCAGGTGGCCACCCTGAACAAGCACATGAGATCATCTACTTGTCACATCCAACCACCTTCCGAATCTGGGAGAGAGTTCTTCCGATGGGCATTGATTGACATGTCTTACTTTAATGTCCTCCCTCCTCAAATTCCCACAGTAATTTACACAGGGCTTTGCCTCAAATGGGCATCTCTTTACTAGGCCTGGTTTCTATTGTTCTTTTGCCTAACTGTGTGGCCAGGCCATTGGTTCTGAATCATAAAAACCTAAAGATAAGGGCTCCTACTACTGTTTAGTTCTTCCATCACTGTCAGAAAAACAGCATATAATGTAGCCCACTGTGATAATTTGTTTTTATGTTCTTTAATCATAGTGGTGGCCTTCCAAACAAGATGTTGTCCATTCATTTTGGAACTGCCATCCCCAAGTTAATCAGCTCTTTGTTGGTTTGTTTACAGGACACTGTCCAAGTGATAATAGAATCCAGTCGCTCCTCACACAGTCCCAGAGTCAGCCCTAGGGGGAAGGAGGCTCCCTGCTTGTAAGTATTTCCTTCTTGCAATTTCCCACACAGCATGATTCCCTATAAACCACTTCCCATTTTTATTATGAAACTTTTCTGGGCACTGCTATCCCCATTAAAATGTTTCTCTTACATCACCATGACAACATGGGTATTTCAAGTTTCAAGATTATTTGATGTCCTTTAGTCTTTGCAGTAGTTTCAATTAATATCCAATAGAAAGCTGATAATTGCCCCTTGAAAGGATATGGTTTAGTACAAAGTCCCAGTAGTCATTGCTGGGAGGAACTCACAGGCTTTTTCCATGAGTGCCAGTCTAGACTCTACATAGGATCTAGCACAAGAATTTGTTCCTACCAATATTACAGCTTTAATTCTAGACAGTGTGGGATTGAGTGATCTTATTGGTTCCCATTTAGCATGCCCAATTAATATTATTCGTTTTTGTTTTTAATTTTAATCAAATCTCCTTGATGTTCTTTGAGTATTACATCTTAAAAGATGGAAGACAGTGTGGCGGTTCCTCAAAGACCTAGAACCAGAAATACCATTTGACCCAGCAATCCCATTACTGGATATATACCTAAAAGATTATAAATTATTCTACTATAAAGACACATGCACATGTATGTTTACTGAAGCACTATTTACAATAGTAAAGACTTGGAACGAACCCAAATGCCCATCGATGATAGACTGGATAAAGAAAATGTGGCATATCTACACCATGGAATACTATGCAGCCATCAAAAAGAATGATAGGATTGCAGGGAAATGTATGAAGCTGGAAGCCATCATTCTCAGCAAACTAACACTGGAACTGAAAACCAAACACCACATGTTCTCACTTTTAAGTGAGAGTTGAACAATGAGAATATGTGGACACAGGTAGGGGAACATCACACACTGGGGCCTGTTGTGGGGTGAGGGGCAAGGGGTGGGAGAGCATTAGGACAAATACCTAATGCATGCAAGGCTTAAAACCTAGATGACAGGTTGATGGGTGCAGCAAACCACCATGGCACATGTATACCTATGTAACAAACCTGCACATTCTGCACATGTATGTTATCGAAAACATAGGAGTAAACCTTTATGACCTTGGGTTAGGCAATTACCTTAGCTATGACATCATCTCGGATATGTCATCTTATGTTTGACAGAATTTCTTTTGGGGGTAATGAAACATTCTAAAATTGATTTTGATGATTGTACAACTCTGTGAATATACTAAAGAGTATTGACTTAAACAATTTGAATTACCACCTACAATGGTATATGAAATACATCTCAATAAAGCTGTTAGTAATCACATTTTAAAGATTTAATTTATATTAAACAACCAGATATATAAAATTCTGGTTCATATCTTTAGTAAATATTGGGATATGGGGGGAAATATAGAGAAAATAGAGCAAAAATTCTGGCTAAATGAAAAATGAATGTGTGAGTATACTGAGACAACAATGTATTATGTAAAAAGATATCAAATAAATCAGCTAAAATTTCAACTTTATCCTTCTATTTTCCATGGCGTGGTAAGATACAGTTTATTCCCTCTAAACATTGTCATTCTCCCATTGTGAAATATATTGCTATACCTATTTAGTGACATAAACACAGAGCTCCAAAAACTTTACCTAAATAAGTAAACTGATTTCATCTTGCTAGTGGTAACAATTCCCTTTGATTTGCAAGTTAATCTGAACCACTCCTATAAGAATAACCTTTTGTTATTAGGTGTGCCTACTGGGCCAGCTCTGTGGGCAAACCTTGTTTACCCACAGAAAATAAAGATGAATGAATAAGTACAGACAGAAGATTTCAAATTATCACCCAAGCTGCATCACGTGCCTTCAAATCTCTTTTAAAGTTACAGGTTATATATATTTTTTTCATTTGGTTTAAGAACTCAAAGAGATTTCAGTGAATATATGGTCATAATTTTGTTGCAGAAATACCTGGTAATTTTACAAATTACATAGACCATTTGGAATATATTTTCTGCTTTGGTAATGAGTCCACTTATATCGCTGAAGTTATGCATGTTAGTTCCACATTTTACATTATTTAATCTACTTTCCACACTCCTCATTTTCTATAGAATGTGTTTTTTTCCAAATTATAATTTGTCAATAAATGCTGATATTCTTAATTTATACTCACAGAGTTCCTGAGTTTATTAATAGAAATACACATTTGTATGCTATGTCAAAATATTTGGCTCTGTAAACTCCCTCTATTATTGTGAAACTGAATTAATACAAAGTCTACTAATCAGAAATCTGGAAGAAACTCTTTGGTAAAATAGAATTAGCACAGGTTTTGGAATCAGGGAGACTGGTGTTAAAAAAAATTGGGTTCAACCCTTTATTATTTGAGAGACATAAACAAAGTACTTAAATACTTTAGAGCCACACATTCATAATTTTTATAAAAGGGTCCTTATGTCTACCTTGGATGTATTTTAGGAGATTAAATAAAATAATAAACAAAAAAAATTAGACTATGTCTTAAGTAAAATAGACCCTCAGAAAATGTTTTGTTCTCTTCTCCCTTTCTCTTGTGGGTTTAGAATACAGTATTTTTTGTTTGCATACAAAATGTACATGCTAGAAGCCTGTGGTTGACTCTAGAAATGAAATGGAAACAAATGCACATAAAGACAAGCAAACATCAAACTGTGTTCAAGTTTATGAGTGATTTGGAGATAATGATGAAGGGTTAAGTAGCAGTGGTTAGAATTAAATTATTAAGTATTACTAACAAAGAGTAAGGAGGACTATACTATATTTTAAGGAGAGGGAATACAGAGAAAATCAAGGATAAAATGTTGAGTTCTCAAAATATTGAGTTCAAGGAAAACGGTATCACAATTAGATGATTTCATTGATTATTTTGTGAGAGACAAAAAATAGAGAAATTGAATACAGAAGTGATTAAGAAAATAAGTTAGGGAGAAAAGACAATGATCATTTAAAAATTTTGAGCCTGATTGTGAAGGTGAATATAACATTGGAAAACAATGCAGAATGAAAAAGAGCTAGTTTTAGGATGCCGTTATCTTTCTTGTCTTCTTAGATATCTAATTAAAAATGTGTAATATGAAGTGTGTCAGGTCAAAATCACATAGACCAAATTTTTTTAATCTAGGTTCTCTCCTACCATTAGCTACATGTAGTTAGATACATTTTTTAATGTCTCAGAAATTGATCATTTTTATATAAAAAGTGGAGATATAACTTCATGAGATAGTTATTTGTGAGAATTTCTAATTCTCACAAAATATAAATTCATAATTTATATTATGAATATAAATTACTTATAGTTTTGAGATCTTATTCATATAGGTGCATATTAATGGCAGAAATATCATTGTAAGGCTTTCAAAAACATGCATTCCTTTCTTCTTTTAGGAAAAGGATGTGAATAGTATTTGAAAATACTAGTAAGTTTTAGCTTGGGTCACATAAGTTCTGCTATTTAGAGGTCTGTTTACAGTAGAGTCTATTTTCAGGTAAGCTCTTGGTAAACTCCTTCATAGTTACATAGAAAGAGAGTCAATCATCCTCCTATAAGGCTGCAGGGATCTTTTCATCTTTCAAACATGTAAAGTCTGGTTTCAGTTACTCAGAGGATTCCAAAAACGGTTTCCCCAGCCAAATCACCATGCTAAACCACCTCTTCTTGTTTGGCAGTTTCTCGTGAGAAACCACAACAACAAAAAGTCCCTCGAATTGTTAAGCAAGATAATTAGAAGCAGCTAGAACTGGGCTGATAATGGGCATGGGAATTTTTCAAGGGCTTCCATGTCAAAAAATTTATTCAATACAGGTCCAAGATTTGTGAAAAATCATACAAAGCGAAATGTTTCCTCTTTGGCTCCCTGAGGAGATCAGTTCTTGGCCAACATGAATGGGCTGCATTGTGCACAGTCCATTGCTCCATTTTTAAGCAAAACATTGAAGTGGTTAGTGTCAATCTGTTTCTTATATCTTCACAGTTAGCAACTTAAAAAAGAAGAAGAAAAAGAAATGGATTTCAAGCCTTTTAATGTTACACATTCAGAACTCTAGCATGGGAATTTTATACCTAAATGTAAGAAAACTATGATAGTTAACATATTATGTAAATCAGCTCTTCTCAAGGGGAACAAGAAAACATTTTATAATGGGACCATGTGATTTCAGAACAATTTTTTTTTTTGAAGAGATACATTTATTTTTAATTGATAATTAACTCCAATTGCTCATTAGTACTTTCAAAAATATTAAATGGATGAACAAATGAAGAGTCCTGAAGTAACCTTTCGCTTTTACCATTGCACACACTGATCGTTAAAAAAATGACTCGACTCTGCATTCACAAATATCTTGGTAAGTACATGTGATGATGTATACATTTAACAAGAACAAAATGTCCCCTAGAAAAAGGCTGTTGGGCAACAGATAGTCTAGGAAAACTTCAGTAGTTTTTTCTTTTCTTCTTTTGTGATCAGACATTTAAATGGTGTAACATTCTCTTAACCATCTCTAAGAGAGACAATGCAATGTGTTAAATGAGATACATTTAAACAAAATCCTCTGAGACACTACCATTCTTTAAAAACTTCACCCCATGCTATTTCCTACTATTCTTCAGCCCTAAATACAGCCCAGAAGATTAAGGTTCCTTTTCTTTCTTTTTTTTTCTTTTTTTTTTGAGACAGAGTCTTGCTGTGTCGCCCAGGCTGGAGTGCAATGGTGGGATCTTGGCTCACTGCAACCTCCACCTCCCAGGTTCAAGCGATTCTCCTGCCTCAGCCTCCCGAGTAGCTGGGATTATAGGCACCCGCCCCTATGTCCAGCTAATTTTTGTATTTTTAGTAGAGACGGGGTTTCATCACGTTAGTCAGGCTGGTCTCAAACCCCTGACCTAAGGTGATCCGCCACCCTCGGCCTCCCAAAGTGCTGGGATTACAGGCACAAGCCATGGCACCCAGCCAAGATTAAGGTTCTGAAAGTGACTTTTGAAACTCAAAGTTGTTTTTCTTGTTATTGCTGTTGTTCTTGTTGTTGACAGAGTTTCACTCTTGTTGCCCAGGCTGGAGTGCAGTGGCGCAATCTCGGCTCACTGCAACCTCTGCCTCCTGGGTTCAAGTGATTCTCCTGCCTCAGCCTCTCTAGTAGCTGGGATTACAGGCATGCACAACCACACCTGGCTAATTTTGTATTTTTAGTAGAGATGGGGTTTCTACATGTAGGTCAGGCTGGTCTCGAATTCCCGACCTCAAGTGATCTGCCCGCCTCAGCCTCCCAAAGTGCTGGGATCACAGGCGTGAGCCACCACACCCAGCCCAAAGTTTTTATCTCAGATCTGTCTCTCACCCACTAAATATGTCCTGACACATCATTTAGCAATACAGAAGCTTCATTTTACCAAGTCTAAAGATTCTTTGTACTTTTTTAAGCTATACAAATATCTCAAACCTGCTGCACAGATGCTTGTAAGAAAATGTATCTATGTTGGCCAAGTAATCTATTTCTTCTGCTTCTATAAATATAGGGAGACTTCCTCAGGAAGGCTATTACTTTGGACATGGTGAATAGGTTCCACAAAATTTAATGGGAAGTAAATACAACTAAAACGGATTTCCATTTCTGGTGAAGACACAGTTACGGATAGCCTACATATACTCCAACCATAAAACTACTATACTGATGGATAAATTTTATGAAGTAGCTATTTGTAGTCATTGGACAACAGAAAGAAGGGAAATTCTGTACGTGATATAAGCTCAACATCTACCCTATATTCTGTCTGTCTGAAGGCATTTTCCAAACTTTGTCATAGGGGAGTAGCGGTCAAGCAGAGAACAATAGTCTCACCTGGCAGGAAAAAAAGAGATCAGAATTTGGAGTTGTTAAACAGGCAGAAATTTGTGAGGAAGGGAAAGAGCCACAAATATCTGCATAGTGCTTTTCCTGAGGCTTTGCTGAATACTAATTTGTACTTTCAAGGTGAGACTCTGGGAAGACTGGCAGGAAATAACTTTTTTAATGAAGGTCAAATAGTGCAGGTGAAATGGGAAAAGTTCCCTTGTCCCCCTCGCAGGGCATGCGATGGGGGAGTGGCTCGCTTCTTCAGTGCCCCGCTGCTCAAACCTCTAGGGGAGCATAATAAGACGGGCAGGTTGTGGGGCTCCGACACCACGGCAGTGTACGGGGTGAATGATTACAGCTGAAGCCCCAGTGGACGTGTGTTACAGGATGCTCTTTTAGTTTAGCCATCCATAGGTGTCTTGTGTTAAAGTCAGCTCAATTAGACCCTTGCCTTATCGCAAGGACAGAGGGCTTTCTGTAACCCGGGGTTCTTCCCTTGGTGTACTGGAAGAATCTGATCACACATGGGCTTGGAGAATGAGTGCAAGATTTTATTGAGCGGAAGTAGCTCTCAGCAGATGGGGAAGCCAGAGGGAGATCGTTTCACCACGCCCCATGACCTGACTCTTCCCCGACAGCCACGGCTAAACTCTGCCTCCTGATCCCAGGTGATGGCCTGCCGGCATGTCTGTGTGCTCTTATGCGGGTGTGTTCCTCTCGACATCCAGCTGCCCGTGTGTTCCTCTGCTAATGTGCTTCTCTTGAAGTCCAGCCGCCTGTGTGTCTGCCTACTAGGGTCTCGGGGTTTTCATCGGCAGAGGATGGGGGCGTGGCTGGCCAGGGTGGTCTTGGGACATGCAACATTTGGGCAAGAAGGCAGGAGTGCCTGTCCTCACCTAGGTTCGTGGGCACAGGCCCGGGAGTGGAGCCCTAGCCAGGTACCACGCCTTCCTCTACCCAGCACTTTCCTGCTCCCCCTCCTCTGTATCACTGGGAATAATTGGAGTTCTAATCAACCATATAAAGAGATATCACTGAACACCCAGTCATTCAAGTAAAATCCCAGAAAAGCCTTTCTTTATAAATAGAGCTGATATAGCCTTAGAATAAGAGTAACTCTAGATGGTTCCTAATAAAACCTAAAACTAGCCTGAGTATAATTAAGCTGATCAAACAGTAAGTTAAATGCTTGACAGAACAAAAGTGAAGGTTCTTGAAAAAGAAATCCAGATTCTAAAGGACACAGCACACACACAGTGCAGTTTAAAAATTTGTAACACATACCCAGGAGAAAACAGTGAATAGAAACATACTGAGTCATTATGCTATTGTAGGAATTAGCAGAGTAGTGACTTAAAGCAGCTATGTGAATATGTTCAAAGATTCAACAGAAAAGATGGATATAATAATGTATAAAAAGATACCTTCCATAAACTCAAAGTAAAGGCAGATGGAAATAAAAAAGTCTCCAAACTTGATAAAAATATTAACCTACAGATTTAAGAAGCAAAACAAGCCCCAAACAGTATAAATAAACATACAGGCCGGGCACGGTGGCTCACACCTGTAATCCCAGCACTTTGGGAGGCCGAGGTGGGCGGATCATGAGGTCGGGAGATCGAGACCATCCTGGCTAACACGATGAAACCCCGTCTCTACTAAAAATACAAAAAAAATAGCTGGGCGTGGTGGGGAGCACCTGTAGTCCCAGCTACTCGGGAGGCTGAGGCAGGAGAATGGCGTGAACCTGGGAGGCGGATTTTGCAATGAGCCGAGATCTCGCCACTGCACTCCAGCCTGGGTGACAGAGCGAGACTCCGTCTCAAAAAAATAAATAAATAAATAAAATAAACATATAAAAAAGGACAAACCTAAGCACATTATTGCTTACATTGCTGAAAACCAAAGAGATGAAATCGTAAAACAACTCAATGAAGGAAGACAAAAACACCTTAGGGTTCATGGATAAGAATGTGTGATAATGTTTCATCAGAATAATGCAGCAAGGAGCTAACAAATTTTAAATTGCTAAAAATAAAAAATGATTCTTGAGTTCTTTGGTCATAGAAAATGGCATTAACCATGTAGGCAAAATAAAGACATTTTTAGTTTAAGAGCTGATAGAGGCCGGGTGTGGTGGCTCATGCCTGTAATCCTAACACTTTGGGAGGCCGAGGTGGGTGGATCACCTGAGGTCAGGAGTTCGAGACCAGCCTGGATAACATGGCGAAACCACGTCTCTACTAAAAATACAAAAATTAGCCAGGCATGGTGGCGGGTGCCTATAATCCCAGCTACTTGGGAGGCTGAGACAGGAGAATCGCTTGAACCCTGGGGTCGGAGGTTGCAGTGAGCCGATCACACCACTGCACTCCAGCCTGGGCAAAAGAGTGAAACTCTGTCAAAAAAAAAAAAAAAAAAAAAAAAACTGACATAATTTGGAACCAATAAACAGGAAGTTAAAAAAATGCTAAAGTAAGTTTTTCAGCCTAAAAGAAAGTAATATCTGATACTATCATATTCACGTAATTGAAAGAAGAGAAAGCAAACTGAGAATTTGTGTGCAAGTACTGTGGACTGCTCTCTTCCCATTTAAAAAAATATTTAAAAGGTCATTGTTTAAAACAAAATAACAGCAATGTATTTGGGATATATAATAAGTGCAATAGAGTAGAAAACAACTGAAACAGAAAGGAAGATGATAGGAAATTGAGGCTTATTATTTTAAAATCCTTATATGTGAAGTGGTAAATTCACAACATAGTACACTGTAGATATTAACACTGAATATTATAATCCCTAGATGTGCAGTGGAAAGTTAAACAAATAAAACTGAAAAAGTCAGGGGGCTTTTTGAGGGTGGAAGGTGGGAGGAGGGAGAGGATCAGGAAAAACAGCTAATGGGTACTAGGCTTAATACCTGGGCAGTGAAATAATCTATAAAACAAACCCCTATGACACAAGTATACCTATGTAACAAAACTGCACTTGTATCCCTTAAAATAAAAGTTAAACAAAAAGATGAAGGTCAAGGAAAACAAAGTACTTAGTTAACCCCCCCAGAATTCAGGAGAAGGATAAAATAAGAACAGATGGGACAGAAATATTAAATTTAAAAATCACATAATGGTAGACATAAACAAAAGCATATCAATAGTTATATGAAAATTCAATGCAAGTCTAATTAAAAGACAGAGATTCTCAGGTTAAATAAAAAAAGGGAGACCCAACTATATACTGTTCACAAGAGGTGCCGTTTATTCTTTTAGTAAATAGTTAAAGGAAAGCAATGGAAATAGTAAGAAAAAGCAGGTATACTTATGTGCATATCAAACAAAGTAGACCTCCAGAGGAAAGGCTTATTATCAGAGACAAGAAGGCATTTTGTAATGATAAAGGTCAATTCATCAAGAAGACATACTCAGTATGTCCACACTCAGTAATTGATAGAAAATGTAGACTAAAGCTCAGAAAGGATTTAGCCTTTCAAATATAACTAATAACCTAGTTGATATTTATAGAATACTATGTACAACCAATATGAACATACACTTCACAAGAGCACATGGAACATTCACAATGATAAACCATATTTTGAACCATAATACTAGTCTCATTGAATTTCAAAAGTTTGACATCATATAGTATGTATTCTAAGACAGAATTAATTTAGAAATAAAAAAGAGGTATAAAAATACCAAAACATTGGGAAATCAAGCAGCATGCTCATAAATAACTTATGGTTAGAACAAAAGCTAAAAATAATTAGAAAATACTTAGAACTGAATGACAATTAAAACATAGCATATAAAAATATGTAGGGTACCACTCTCATAGTGTTTAGAGAAAAAATCGTAGCATCGCTTGCTTATATTAGGAGAGAAGAAAGGCATATAATCAATTATACAAATATCTATCATAAAAAAACCCATAAACATGATGTAATTGACTCAAAAAAAATAAAAGCAAATAATAATGATTAGAGGGAAAATTAAAGAAACAAACAGTCAAACATAGAGGAAAAGCAATGAAACTAATTATTAGTGGTATGGAAATATTATCTCCTTCTCCAAAATATAAAATAGATTAATATCAAATAAACCTAAGTAGCCCATAACTATAGTAACCAAGGGTAAAAAAGATTTAAAAGAAACACAGTTATCAGAAAAGAAAGAGGTAGCATCAATACGTGTACTATAATTATAAACAAGTTGATGCCTGTAAATTTGACAACTCATATAAAAAGACGCATTGTTCGAAAAACACAAGTTAATAGACAGACACAAGAAGAAACAGAGAGTTAAAATAACTCTGTATTTGCTAAATCTATTGTATTTTTGTAATTAACACTCTTCCCACAAAGAAACCTTCAGGTATAGATGGCTTCACTGCTGAATTCTAGAAAACGTTAATGGAAGAAATAGTATCAATCTTAAAGTCTTTTGGAAAATACTGGAGGATGGAACTCTTTCTAATTCATTTTATAAGGTCTACATAACCTTGATAAGTAAACTAGACAAGGACATAACAAGAAAATAAAAACTCAAACCAGTATCCTCAGACACAAATAACAAAATATTTGCAACAATATATGAGAAGGAAAGAAGAAAATATATGATGATCAAGTTGTGTTTATCCCTAAATGAAAAACTCATTTAACATTTGAGAATCAATCAGTGTAATTCACCACATTAGCAAAATAAAGGAGAAAATAATATGATTATGTCAACAAATGCAGGAAAAGCATTGACAAAATTTTACCTACATTCATGATAAAATTTCCCAACAAACTAGGGGGAAACAAGAGAACTTCCTTAGCTAGATAAGGGCCTTTGTGAAAATCCTACTTAATTTAGTAATTAAGTAATATCATACTTAATATTGAAAGACAAATCATTTCTTTCTAACATCAGGAGTAAGGTAAGATGGGCTGCCCTGACCAGTGCTACTTAGCATTGTTCTGGATGTCCTATCCAGTGCAATAAGAACGAGAAAAATAAAGAACGTAAACATTAAAAGTATAAAGATTAAAGAAAGGAGACATAAAATGTTCATTTCTGTACATATAGAAATCCTAAAGAAATTCTAAAGTAATTACTAGAGCTAACAAGTGAATTAATGAACACCGCAGACTACAATGATGATATATCAATGTTATTTACATACGCTAACAATGAACAATTGGCAAATCAAATAAAATTGGCATTTACAACAGCATAAGAAATTGTAAACCATGTAGCATCACTTTTAATTAAAAATGTATAAGGCCACTATACAAAAGATTGCAAGACTGGAGAAATTTTATAAAGACAATGTTGGAGAGATATTCCATGTTAATGAATTGGAAAACATTATTAATGTGGCAGTCCAGTTCCTAACAAAATCCCAACAAACATTTGTATAGAAATTAAAAATCCTTCCTTCCTTTATTTTTATTGTATGCTTTCCTCCAGTATAAGGATCTTCTAGTCAGGGTTGGGTGAAGATAAATACATATTTTGATGCATTTCTGTCAGGTCCTTTTCAAAACACTACTGCTATATCCATAAATTTGGGAAACAAACTAAAATTGCTCATGTATCTTTTCACTTAACCCTAACAAGAACGCTATGACATAGGTATTGTAATTCTTTCCCTGTTGCAGGTGACAAAATTAAGGCTTGCACAAGCTATGTTACTTGCTCGAAGTTGCATAGCACAGAAATAGAGAAGTCTGGATTCAAACTCAGTCGTATCCAAAGCCAGAGTGTTGGCAGTAATAATTTCCCACATACTGCTAGTAGGGCAAATGATCCATAGGCTTGCCACAACATCATGGAATTGTTATTACTAAGTCAACATTCCTTTTTTCATCAGGTCCAAGGAAATTCAGTTATAATAGAGGCATTTACTACAGTTACATTTTCATCATAACTAATGCAAGCTAATATTCTGTATAAAATTACCACTATGAATTAACTTTATGTCTGGAGAAAATGGGATTGTATGTAATTACTGATTTCCACTCACAGTAAAATAAGCAAATTATCTTCCCCAACATAAATGCACCATAAATTGTTTTGAAGCATAATGAAGAAATGAACTTCTGAAAGAAATATGAGCCAAATCTGCCAAATTATTGTAAATGATAGCCCCTTTAAAATTAGAGCAGTAATTGCGATTGGAAAACATTATCCTCTGAATGGTTACATTATTATTTGGGTAGACCAATAATCCTCTTTGTTGATGTTCCATTTCCGGGGTATTGACAGATTTTACACATTTTCATATCAAAATGCCATCAAATTTATATATAGAATAATTTACTGTTTCTGATACAAGATTTGTCATAATGGAGTGTCATCCATGAGTGTAACATAATGACATTTTAATTGAGAGAAGATGCTTTGGCAAATAAAAAAGAAAGCTATTTTTCTTTGGATATTTCTGAGTTTGTAGACAATTTTCAGCTGAGTATATTTTCAATTCAAAAGATTGTTCTAACATATGGCCACATGCATTTAATCTTCATGAGTGAAAATAACCTTTACTATATGACATTTTAAATCAAATAGAGCAATCAGCCTAATTTCATTATAGTATTTTATAACAATTATTGATTGCATTTTGCATAAAAATGCAACATCTGTATCACAAAATGTCACAGATAATAAAGGTGTGATCATTTTTTAACAATAATATGTTATCTAATAGTGAGAATCATCTGTGTTATGTAGCCAATTCTAGCCAACCAGTAACACCCAATTAAAATATTTTCAAATCAAACTTTTATTGAATTCAGAGTATCTAATCAGTGAGTGATTTGAGAGATTCAATGAATTAACTAATGTGACCCCCTTTTCCACATTGCATGCTCATTTAACCGAGAGACACGCATGCTAATTTTCTTCTCATTTTACTAGTGTTTCTCCAGCATTCAATTCTCCAATTGTGACTTCTCTAAAAAAAAGTCCATATATTTACATGCACATATATAGCAGGCACTATGTTAAACACTTTGAAACACTCAGTTAAGACGATTCCTCTAGGGATGTTGTTTTCAAAAAGTACACATATCAGAATATGTGATCATTCTTATAATAGTAAAAACATCATTCTAAGTGATTGTTCCTAATAATAGGAAAATGAATACACTTATGGGAACCAATTTCATTTTGTAAAGACAGAAGAGACACTGGGGAAATCATTTACATATTAGCTTTCATTTTCTTTTAAATTTGGATTATTTGGATACTGATTGCAAGACGAAATTTATCTTACGAATTTGGTAATAATTGCTAAGAATTTCCTATATTTTTTGCCATGATAACCTCATTCTTCGAGGCAGAGATACTAGATTTACTAATGAACTAAATTTTATTTTCCAAATTCCTATTTTACCTGGAATTTCCCCTTTCCAATCCCCACTATATAGACATTTCTAAGCTTGGAAAAACTTGACTAATGCAGAATTTATTTTTACCTTCTTATTTTCATCTTCAGCCTTCAAAGTCTCTGAAAACTGCAGTATCTAGAGATAAGAAAAAATCATGAGAAATAACACTTAGCACTATTAGAATTTGGCAAAAACAAACTATTTGAGCTTCATTTTACTTATCTGTGTAACACGATCAGAATAGCATCTACCTTAGTGGAAAATTTAGATGACTGGTTGACAGAATGTGTGTAAAACAACTGGCATGCTAATGGTTACTTCTACAAGTAAATTGTTTTGAAGCATAATGAAGGTCTGTGAGTCCAGGACTCATAACTCAGATGTAGTTTTGTGGGAACAAAAGATAGTTAAGTGCAGTCTGGGCGTGGTGGCTCAAGTCTGTAATCCTAGCACTTTGGGAGGCCGAGGAGGGTGGATCACTTGAGCTCAGGAGTTCAAGACCAGCCTGGCCAACATGGTGAAACCCTGTCTCTACTAAAAAAAAAAAAAAAAAAAAAAAGTTAAGTGCAGAGCACAGGGTCAAGTTCTAGCTCTACTGTGGTCCAGACTAGATTTCCTTCACAAAATTGTTTTTATAGGAATTTGTGCTATGAACTAGTTAGTTTCATCAAATATGTAATCCCATATTTGATGAAAATCATATATAAAAAGAACAAATCTATGTGTAATGACTAGAACAACTAATTTTGTGGTTTAAAAAAATAATTATTTCGTAAGTATTATTTGAGCAACTGTGTGTGTGAGCTACTGTGCTAGAAACCAAGGATAACACTGACAAATAAGGCAGACATTCTTCTGGAATTTGTTGTTTCTGAAGCTTGGTTACCATCTTCCTTTCTTTTTGAGGTTCCAAACAAGTGAATGATACTATGTATTATAACATGAATTATTTCAACTAGAAAAAAAATTATTGCAACTTTGTGAACTAGATTTTTTAAATGGGCTTCTAAGTACACTGTAAATATGAATAGCACACTTTACAGCTCATTGTGAACCCTATCCACTAAGTGTTTTGTAATAGATTTCACTATGGGACCTCTTTTCAGGAGGCATCTTTGGCTTTGTCTTGATCAAAAACTGGATAAAGATATGAAAGCCACATGCAGTTTGAATTTAAATCAAAACCAGGGCCAACATCCAAAATAACCTCAACAAGCTGTAGTGAAGAACAAAAATCAGCAGGAATAAATTTAACAGCTGAATGTTGTCTTGCTTTTATGTGTAATATCCCTCCTTATCACTGTACACGACTATCATGTGGAATGGCTACCTGACAACATTGCTTTGCATGAAGTCTAGAACTCTCACTAACCTCACACTTGCCCCTGGTGGGGCTACAAACCAAGCTAGAACATTCAGAGAACATCTGTGCCTATCGTCTTGCTTGATCTGCAATTTACTCACAGTTTCATGGTATAAAAGAAGGTAGCTGTCCTGATTTCAAATCCTGGATCCACTATTACTATTTAATCTAACTATTCAGCAGTTAAAAAAACAAAAAATCATTTCATTCACAGCACCATGGGTGGATCTGGAGGTTAATGTCTCAATGAAATACGCCAGGAACAGAAAGACAAATATTGCATGCTCTCACTCATGATGTGGGAGCTAAAAACATGGAACAGAGAGGTATAGAGTGGAAAAATAGACAACATGACTGGGAGGGGTGAGTAGGGGGGATGGGAATGAAGAGAAGTGGGTAAAAGGGTACAAACATACAGTAAGACAAATAAATTCAATGATTGTTGCAGAGTAGGATGACGATACGTAACAAAAATGTACTGTACTCAGGTGATGGACACCCTAAAGACCCTGACTTGATCACAACATATTATATACATATAACCAATTTTCTCATGTATGTATGTGTGTTATTTATCTTTTGCACACAAGAGAATAATCTGTAGCCTTTTGTCAGAATTGAAGAAGATAATGACCTTAGTTCTATTGGTATACATGTATACGTATTACCATTTATTGGGCATCTTCCATGAGCTAGAAGGAACATGATTATCTTACTTTCCATATAAGTAGAAACAGAATCAACCAGAAAATCAGTAAACATTTCCAAGGTCCTACTGCTGGCAAAGCCATGAGTAGAATACAAATGTGTTATCCAAATCTACACTCATTTTAAAAATAAATGAAAATCTCTGTTCATTCTGATAAAGGTAAGTACAGAGCTGTCTTTTTTAATGCTGCTGCAAACTGATAGTTCTTCAAATACTTGTCTTATTACTGCTTCTTAATAAGTGCTATAATTCTTTCTAAGGTGGCCATCTTAGCCCACTCTAAAGATTTTTGTTTATTTGTATAACAATTGAAGTTGTCCAATAATTCTGTGGATTTTCTAATGATGGAAAAAGTTCTGTATTACCGGCAGTTATCAAGGAGCACTTTCATAATTTATTCCACAAAGGAAAAAAAAAGGCTATTTCCTTTGAAAACAAACCAGTGACTTTTTGATAGATAACACTGAAGAGTCTCAAAGAAATATTTTCTGTTACTTTGTTCCCTGCAAATTGAAATTTCACTATTTTCTGTGTTTCCCCCACAGCCTTGCATGAGGAATCTCTGAAAATAGAGTAAATGGAGGCAAGTTACTACCCCCTCACACGCATACTTAAAGGGAATTTGGGAAATGATAAAGCCGCTTTATGGCAGGACCTAACGTTAATTCAGCACTAGCTGAATTCTGATAGAAAGAGTTCTGGTTTTTCCGGAAAAAAACAGATTGCAGGAATTAATGCCACTTCCTGAGAGGAGAAGTAGGGAAAGGAACAAATACTGGAATACCTACAGCGTGCCAGAGATAGTGTGCTAGGTATTTTATCCACATTTTCCAGTTCAATTCTTCAAGTGCTTTGGAGATAGGTATTACTATCTTTATGCACATAAAGAAACTGAGACTTTGGAGAATTTAGGTAATATACTTCAGTTGAAGTTAAGAAACAGTAGAGCTAGAATTCAAACGTAAGTGCGGTATATCTGACTTCAAAGCTCAAGCTTCTTCTCTGATATCAGGCCTTCTCCTACCAGTTGGCTTCAACATAGGATTTGTAATTTGTTGGTATTCTGCTCCTCTGCTGTTTCATTTCAATTCTTGCTCTGTAACCCCAAATTTGATTGGGAGAACTCTTTGGATTTAGAAACAAGCTTGACCTTGTCACGTTTATTTTATCTGCACCCTTCTTACCCATTCATATGAGTTAGGAAAGTGACTGATATTTGGTTTAAATTTCTACCATTTAATTTCTTTGCAAGTGATTTTGTTCTAGTTAGCCTTACCCAAGTTTTCAAGGAAGTGCAGTCCTTTGCCATTGCTGTGTAAAAGAAGGACAGTTCTACAGCGTCTGTGGGGATGCTGATGACTAGTAAATTATTTTACAATGAGAAAACAAGCATTCACCATGATCAACATGAACAATATGCTGTTTGCCCTCAAGCAAGAGAAAAAGCCGCTGGCATGTAATGTTGAGACAAATAGTCAAGGGAGGCCAAGGAAAGATAAATAACACACATACACAAAACATCTAGAACAGAGGATGTTCAATATCCCATCAGAATCTGGAAGGATTAACTATCTATCTATTTTTCCCTCTTTAAAAATAATACAGAGTGTGAATTTATTATAAATCAATTTCTTTTCTAATGTTTTTGGTGATTATAAAGTAAATACAATTGACTTTAAGGTCAGGCTTACATATTTATATTTCCTATCAGTTAAAAATGTGCATGTGTTATAATAATAGTTGCATTCTTGAATGGAATAAGTTTTTTTCTCTAGAGAAACAAAGCTATTTCTGAAGTCTATCTGTAATGCAATAGAGCTCTAAAAGCAGAAGGAAAATATCTGCATTTTGATTATTCATTTAATTGTAACAGAAATGAAATACACATGTGTAAAAATGCAATAATTACAAACAGGTGTAAAATGTTAGTTTTTTTACTTTATAAGAAATTTTATTCTTTTGTAAAGGACAATTTTAAAGAAATGTAGCAGCCCTTTCCCGTAGTTTTTATATAAGTTTTAAGATGCCAGTTCATTTCATTTTCATATGTGGCATCATTTCACGAAATTATCTTGCCAACCATTTTTGTTGACACTAATATGATGAATAAAAGCAGCAATACAAAAATGACAATGATTTAGGCTCCCCCAAATTTAAGACGTTAAAATCTTCTTAAGCTTTCATCATTATAAAACACCAATTCTAGAAGTAAGGTTTAGCAGACTGAATATGAAGGCATAAGTATACATATAACTGCCCTATTGCCTCAGCTAGAATGTTGCACAAGGATAATGGAAACAAGTCAACCACCAAGCGTATGTTAGCACTGTTCTAATCTGTTTACAAAATTCTCTTATTTAAATATTCATAACAATTAGAAAATACAAATTTGGACAGAATGGATCTTCTCATCTGTTCATCATCTTCAAGGATGCTTATTCTTCCCTCTTGGTGGGACGTAGATTGTGCTGTAGTTTAAGTGAACAACAAAAAAGACGATCTCAGCCTCATACTCCATATGTTGGAGATAAAAATCAGGGACTAGGCCCGTGTATGGTGTTTCACACCTGTTAGCACTTTGGGAAGCCAAACAGGGAGGATTGCTTGAAGCCAGGAGATCGAGACTAGCCTGGGAAACAAAGCAAGACCACTACAAATAATTTTTTAAAATTAACTCAGAGTGATGTCATGCACCTATAGTCCCAGCTACTCAGGAGGCTGAGGCAGGAAGATCACTTGAGCCCAGGAGTTTGAGGCTGCAGTGAGCTGTGATAGCACCACTGCACTCCAGCCTGGGCGACAGTGAAATATCCTGTCTCTTAAAAAACCCAAAAAACAAAAAAGGATCCCAGACTTTTGCAAAAACCACACACTAGAGCTGATTAATGTTAGGCAGAGAGATACTGAAAAATCATTAGCTCTTAATAATCACTAAAGTCTAAGAAGGATTTTTCATACTTCAGTTCTTTTTGTTAACTAAATTACTGTTATGTTTTCACAAAAGATAATACAAGCAGAGGGGAACTAAGATATTTCTCTCCCTTCATGTCACCCCATCTGCCTATGTGCAGAACTGAAATTATTTCCAGCTTCATCAAAGGGAAATTCTTATAAATAGGAATGACTGGTTGCCCAAGCTACAGACAGTGAAAAAAGAATGTGTCCTGGGAAAGGAGGGAAGACAGGGTAGGGTGAAGAGATGAAGACAGTAAAGGTTCAGTTGTCAATTTATGAATAATAAACTGATAGGTGACCCTAGGGAGTAAGGGTCACGTTACACCACCCTTAAAGGATTTCGAAAATTTTTTAAAGCACGCTTAAAGGATTTCAAAATTGAATGGAGTGCTGTACAAGGTGACTACTGGTAAAGTTTATAATATCTTACAGAGTGCTAGTCTTTATTCTGGCAATGTCGTATTTTATATTTTATAAATATTAGTTTCTAAATTTAATTAATCCTCACAACTAATGTCTATCGTAGATACTCTTATAAGCCCAATTTCACAGACGATAAGAAAAAGAAGATTCAGTATGGTTAAGTTAGCTATTGAATGTCATATCTCCAGTAAGGGGCTGGACCAGGATTCACTGACAGGTACAGCTGTATTTAGATACATACCTCCTTATCTTCATGCAAGAATAGAGAATTTCACAAGTTGGCCTTCAGAGAGGCAGTTTGGCAGGAGTGGCAGGGTGGGGGCAGTTGTAGGGGAGATGCTTAGCCTTGAGGCAGGAGAATAGGTCTGGAGGCAGGGAACCTAAGGCCAATTCAGTAGGACTTCCTAGAACTGAATCAAAAGGAAAACCCCACCTTTCCATGCTCAAGTAACAAAAGGATTAGAGCCTACTGCTTTTGGAATGCCCTGCCCCCTCACCCGTTTCCCATTTTCCAGGTGAAAAATGGAAAGTACCTCTGATTGGCCCCCTCCTGCAATCAGTCAGATTGGTCAGGGGCCAAGTCTTTATGTGTAACTTCCTAACTTCTCTTCAGCCTCTGATTGGTCGCCTCCCACGACCAATCAGACTGGTCATGAGCCACTCCTTCATTTACATAAGGTGTAACCAAGTAACCAATGGGAAACCTCTAGAGGGTATTTTTAAATGCCACAAAATTCTGTAACCAGCACTCTTGAGCTGCTTGCTTGAGCCCACTCCCACTCTGTGGAGTTTACTTTCCTTTCAATAAATCTGTGCTTTCCTTGCTTCATTCTTTTGATGCTTTGTTTGTGTGTTTTGTCCAATTTGTTCAAAACGCCAAGAACCTGGACAACTCATAGTCAAGACCCTCCACTAGTAACAGACTGGGAACAATATCCCTTGTATGCAATTGAGACAGGGAGAACAGAACAGCGATCCCTCCAGGTTTTTCCTTGCAAGCTCCTAATGGACTAGCTACACTCAGCCTGGAAGCTGCACCACCACAGACACTTCCTCTCACAAAATCAACCAATTAGGCCTGAAAGAAACAAAGCACTTTAACCGCAAACATCCTGGTTGCCAACTGTAGAGACTTTCCAAGAGAAACTTCCCCAATGCTGAGTAATATCTTAATTTGTCCTAACTTGAACTTTGCTTCATTTTAATAGTAAAAGTTTACTGGGTGGAGATTTAAGATGCAAATGAGACTTCTGGGTGGAGATTTAAGATGCAAATGAGACATACCATGTATGTAAAGCCATGACGTGAGACTGTGCAGGCACAACCGCTGAACCACCCCAATAATGTCACCTGGAGGAGGCTCAAAGGAAAAGAAAAGCTCAAACTAACCTGATTTGGGGAAGCCAGCAGCAGGTTCCTTCCTGTTGTTGTCTCCCTTTCTGCTTAAGCTGAAAGCCCCAATAAACTGCCTTGTTCAAGCCCATTTCAGACTCTTGGTTTACTTTTTTTTTTTTTTCTGAGACGGAGTCTCACTCTGTCGCCGAAGCTGGAGTGCAGTGGCGCGATCTCGGCTCACTGCAACCTCTGCCTCCCGGGCTCAAGCTATTCTCCTGCCTCAGCCTCCCATGTAGCTGGGACTAAAGGCACGCACACCACGCTCAGCTACTTCTTTTGTATTTTTAGTAGAGACGGGGTTTCACCATGTTGACCAGGCTGGTCTCAAACTCCTGAACTCAGGTGATCCGTCTGCCTCGGCCTCCCAAACTGCTGGGGTTACAGGTGTGAGCCACCACACCCAGCCTCTTGTTTTACTTCTATTTATTGAGGGTCAAGATCCACCACTGGTAACATTATAAGAAGAAAACCTTGGACAGGGGCTACTGATACAGAAATGGTGGAAAATCAGCGGGGAATGTGAGTTGTTCTGAATGAAGTCATCATCCACATAACTAAAACCAAATATCTCTGTGCGCTGGGACAGAGGAAACAAAAAGAAATTGCTATAGTTTTCTTTATTCTACATAGGTGAGGGAACATGCATCTCTACACTTAGGGCAGAGGATCTGCAAAGCTTTTCCAGCCTCCAGCATCCAAGACACACACTCTTACAGGAACAAACAGGAAATTAATATTAGGTAACTTTTGCCAAAAACAAACTGAGGCAAAAACAAAGAGGATACTTAGGTGACTTTCCCAAACATGAATTAGCCACTAGAACTAATGCATGTTAGGAAGAGGGATACTGAAAGATGACCAGTGCTTGATAATAATGGAACTCTTCTACGGTTTTGCAAGATCCAGGTAACAGAGCTAGTACAAAGAGCAAGGATTCAAATACATATTATGTCACATCTCAGACACAGCGCTCTTTGCTGTGCCTTTTTACATGCAGCTAGACAAAAGAGCAGGAGCTAAGTTGCAAATGAATTGAGGCAATTACTATAAGCAACTGTTATAGAATATCTCTACCTCTTGCTGTGGAAATTATTCTTTCCTCGAGTAAGCTTTTGACACTCATATAATTAATAGGGGAGAAATCTAGCTCTTAGAATAATTTCTGCCAGAGCTTGTTTGTTGATAAGTCTTCCCTTCAAGGTTGACCAGAACAAAACCTGATGAGAAAAATAGTTCAATTCATGAATTTTACCATCTGAATGAATGAACTGGAGAAATAAGAAGTTCAACATGAAAAGATATTCTACCCTTTTGAGAGGAAGTAATATGGGAGACTTTGAATAAGGGATTTATTTATTTTTTCCTACAAGTGATTATTAGGCAATTTGTAGACAAGAAATGAAAATGTTTTTCTGAAGCAGCTATTAAAGTCTTCTGACGAAGCACTACTGACATTTGCAATATTTACTTAAGGTTTATAAAGTACTTTTGTCTTCTGGGATTAAAGACACTAAAGCATTTGGTGGGTTTATCATCATATTAACATTAATGACTGGTATTCAGTTGCTCATCAAAAATAAGATGGTGTCCAGTGTTCCTGTATTAATTTTGTTTCCACAACAATAAATTTTTGGCAGAAAATAAAGAACGCATTTTCTCCAAAAAACAACCCCAGAACTATGAAAGAGATAGTTTATGAGTGACAGATTGTAGGATAAAACACCATAATCAGTGAAAATGTATTATTTAGGGAAAGCAAATTCCTTCAGTTTCTGGTGCCTGCTCTAATCATGTGAATAAAATAATGGTATGCAAATGCTTGGTCTAGAGTTTGACAAGGCTGTCACTTTCCCTTATCGGACACAGTGCTTTATCACAATGCAGTCAAAAGAAAGGAGGAAATGAGGTGGAAAATATTATTACAGGATTTTTAGGGTACTTTGATAGAAACTAGAGGCAGCTGTTAAAACTACAGTATTTAAGAACAAATGTGAGTAATGAACCATAAAGTGAAATATGTAAGGCAGGGAAATATTTCTGGCAATACATATGCTCTACATAAATTTTACTTACGTATAAGGATACTGAAGTGTAGGCTGAGGCTACCTAGAGACATTGATTAGAAAATAAGCAATACCACTTTGTTTATACATTAGTGCTTGTGTAGCACTTTCTGAAGAGTTGCAGAGTTGTGTTGTGTCATGAAATAGTAACTATGTAACTTATCTCCTTTCTTCCTTTCTATTTTTTTTCTCCTTCTCTCTCTCACTCTCCTTCTCTCTCCTTCTTTGCACTGGCTACCAGGGAGCACAGAGCGTGATATACTGAGCAAATGGCTCAGCTCTGCCTTGGAATGAACTTAACACTTTCTTATTAATGATACCTGTTTTTCTATTTTTTTCTATATCCTTGCATACCATTTACAGTGTTATACAACTGATTTTATTATGAACAATTTCAAGTACCTTTTAGAGAAGCAGATTGCTAATTCAAAGCAAACATGAAACAGATACTAGCATTTGTAATTAATTTTGAATAAATTTCAAAGAATACAGCAGGATGGTGATCTGATTCTTTTCCTTTGGCTTTTTTTATTCTCTTTGCTGACTTTAACATACAATGAGGTGGTGCCAACAATGAGAATGTCCTATGTTGTGTTCAGAATCATTGCTAACAATGTTTTCGGGCAAATATGTGAGTAGCAACACATTGTACTGATTGTCGTCATATTGATTATCATTGCAGTTTTTTTCTCTTAAAGCTTTGTTATTATTTTTCTGGCATTGTCAGGGGGAAATAGAATTTTTAAATTTATTACAAAAATATGCTTATCATTTGTCTAGGTATTTGTCTTCCTAGACAATATTTTGAGGTTGGTGTAAAATAAATATCTAATACTTCAAAGAGAGCCCATAGAGTTGGAAAGATTTATTTTGATTTACAAAATACTCTCTTTTGATATTTTTTATTTTAGATGACTGATACTGGCATTTTCTTCTATTTAATTGTTGTTTTACTTCTGAGTAGTTTTTTTTTAATATTTGTTGGGGGTAGAAAAAGAAAGAATATTGCTAAAGAGTTTGCTAGATGTATGAGATGGTAGGAGGAAATAAAGGCAATAGCACTTATGCTTAAGCAAGTAGAGATGTTTTTTAAAAGCAAGTGAGACTACCTATAAAAAAAAAGGTGTCATAGGAGTCACTGTAGTCATTCCATACACTAAGAAAAGGAGGTTAGAAATAAAACCTCACCTACTATTATCAAAGACGGAGCTGCTTGGCCAAGCAGCTAGCAAATGTTTCTTCCCACAGAGAATGCTGAGAAAGGAAAACACAACACCTCCAGTTTGAATTCCGAATAAAACTTGGCCCAACAGTCTTAAAACCCTAGTGGTCAAATTGAGAAGAATCTGGAATGAAATGTCATTTTAAACTCGGAAGCAAGCATCTGTCTTGCAGGAGTCAGAGGCTTGAATGCTCCTCTGGGGTGGGCTGTCACTTCTTCCTGGAAAACAATTTTAGGTGCACAAATGTGAAGGCAGCCAGCACCCATTAGGGGAGCCCTTATCGCTATCAACCTCAACTGTCTTCTATTACCCATTGCTACCAAGAAGATGTTTGTGTGCATGTGATTTACATGAAAATCATGAAAGGGCTCATTTCGTGTGTTTTTATTTATCTATTTATTTTTAATAAGCATATGTATATTTATTACCTTTTAGGGTAGTTATGTAATCCATCTCCAAAATCTAGATATATGTGAGGGTAAAATAGGGCTCTATTAACAATGAGAGCAGGAAAAACAAACTGGAATCAACATGGGAATTTAATCACGCTAACTTTGTTACCTTGAATATAAGTTTCCATTTGGGATACAATCATTATCATCATTTTCAGTAGAAGGTTTAGATGAAGCAAACGTCAGTATTCCAGAAGCAGGATCTTTAACTATCAGAATCTAAGAGCTGTGACTAGACGCTGATCTAATTCAGTATTTAGCCCAAGCCATCATCCCTAAGATTTGCCAGAGTGTCATAACTTGTTCTTGTAAGGGTGAAAGATTCCTCTAAACTACTGCTCTTAAAATTAACGTGCATATGCATAGACCCAGGGAGGGGAACAACACACATTGGGACCTGTAGGGGAGGCAGGAGGAGAGAGAGCATCAGGATAAATAGCTAATGCATGTGGGGCTTAATACCTATGTGATGGGTTGGTAAGTGCAGCAAACCACCTTGGCACACGTTTATCTATGTAATGAACCTGTACGTCCTGCATATGTATCCCAAAACCTAAAACTAAATATAATTAAATTAAAAAGAAAAAAATTAATGTGCGAATGAATCACCTAGGCATTTTGTTAAAGTACAGATTGTAATTCAGGAATATTGTGGTAGGGCCTGAGATTCTCCATTTCTGACAAGCTCCCAGGTCATGTCAATGCTGCTAGTGTACAAACTCCACATTGAATAGCACTTCTCTAAATTATTTTAGTCAAGTCACAAATCTTGTTTAACCCTAATGTTGCCATTGAGAGCTCATTTCATCACCCTACTTTACAAGATGCTGCTAGATTCCCCCAGTGAAACTCCATGACAGTATTCAGTAAACTAGTTAACAAAGCATTGGCTACTGATGATAAATAGGAATCTTAGGAAGGCTTCTGTTAGCCACCTCTGGAGAAAAGCTCTTGAAATAACTTTTTAAATTAATTTATTTTTAGTTGAAAACTATTAATTGTGTATATCTTTGAGTACAACATGATGTTTTGACCTATTTGGAAAATACTGTGTAAAATTTTAATCTAATTAACATATTCTTCACCTCACTAACTTATCATGCATGCTGACCATAGATAATAATAATGTATTATATATCCCCAAATTGCTAAAGGAATATAATCATTTATAATGCATGTCATGACTATGGATTGTTTTGAATCTTCTTCCTAAAACACTTTCATATTTTCGCTTGTTTCTCTGATCCTTTCCTCTAGATGGTAATGAGCTTACTCTTCGTATCAGAATTCCCCTTCTTTTGTTTGGAGAAAGTATATTTCATCTATTATCTTCCATCTCAGTTCTGAGATTTCAAAACCATGGTGTTCTCTCCACTGGAAAAATGCCTCAACAATATCAACCCTTCCTCTTATGAAAAGAATCTTCTGACACTACCCTGCTTTTGTCAGTCCCTTTTAGATAATTACTTTTATCTCAGGAAGAGAAGAAGCATATAGGAAAATTGGAGAGGTAGGGATTGGTAAGAGAACAGATGACTTATCAGTGTGGATTAAGGGGCTGCCAATTAGCTACCTCTTTGTTTAGAGACATTACATGCAGATAACCTTTATATCTCTCACAAAAGCATGCATTTGAGACCACTGGAGAAATGAATAAATGTTTATAGAGTTATCTTTATATGGTGCTCTCACCCCTAGCCAGTAAATATATGTTGACACCCTTAATCAACAAAAGCAGGTATACTCTTTGACATATCCATATTGTTTTCGGGAAGAAGAAACACACCTACACAAGCTCACATAAAACTCCCCACATTCAGTACATAGAGTCAACGCCAGGACATTTATTAACTTTCGGGTTCAGCAAATATGTATTTCATTGTATAAAAAAAGAATAAAAATATTTTTATTCCAAACAAATCAAAATAAACAGAATCATGATAAAATGAGAGTTGAAACAATCAGATTAAGGAATTTTAAAGAATTATCTGAGGTATCACCCTCATTCTAGTTCCAGTTTACTGCCAGAACTGAGATAGATTATTGATCTGGCCTGCTCCCCAAACATCTTTGTCAAACTATACTCAAAATACTTAAGATTATCTCAAATATAACTTATTCTGTACACTTTAAAATTAGGTACTCCCCATTTTTCTTAACTTAGGCACATTCATGGAATCTGGTGATGACTGAAAAGTCTATTTTTCATTCACTGTGTTTTCTGGACATCCTTGCTCATCTATAAGAGCCATAACTAACAGTTTATATACACTCCTAATATGTATCCACATTTTTGGTTGACCATTACAAAGTCATCCTAATAAAAATAATGAAAAGATCATATCAGTGCTTCCCTACAAGTCCAATGTGCTGTGGCAAAACACCATCACTTACAAGCCAGATGAAATGATTAGAATTCAGTCAATCATGATGTAAGAATAAACAAATGAAGATTGGTGACAGGACAAGATAATTGAATAGAAGCCTCCACTGATCATCCTCCCTGTAGGAACACCAAATTGAACAGCTAAAAAGCATCTTCATAAAAACCAAAAATCAAGTGAGTCATTACAGTACCTTGTTTTAACTTCATATCACTGAAAGGGGCACTGAAAAAAGTCTTAAATTGCATATGCCACCCCTTGCCCATCCCCAGCAGCAGCTGCATGGCATGGAGAGAGAATCTATGCATTTGGGAGAGAGCGAGCACAGTGACTGTGGGACTTTGCACTTGAACTCAGTGCTGCCTTATCACAGTGGAAAGCAACACCAGACAGAAATCAGCCAGCGCCCATGAAGAGAGCATGTAGACCATCCCTAGCCAGAGGGGAATCACCCATCTCATCAGTCAGAACCTGAGTTCTGGCAGGCCTCACCACTGTGAGCTAAAGTGCTCTGAGGTTCTAAATAAACCCCCAAAATAGTCTAGGCCACAAGTAATGCAATTCCTGGGCAATTACTGTTGTTATGCGGGGCCCAGAGCCAGTGGACTTTGAGGGGGCACATGACAATAAGACACCAGCTGGGTTAGTCAAGAGAGTGCTTGTGCCACTTCTCCCCTATCCCCAGGTAGTGCAGCTTACAGCTCCAGGAGAGATTCCTTCCTACTGCTTGGGGAAAGGAGAGGGAAAAGTAAACAGGACTTTGTCTTGCAACTTAGATACCAGCTCAGACATGATAGAATAGGGTACTGGGCAGAGTCATGAGGCCCACATTCCAGGACCTTGCTTCAGGATGACATTTCTAGACATGCTCTGGGCCAAAAGGGAATCTATTGCCATGAAGGGAAGGACACAGTCTTGGCAAGATTCAACACCTGCTGACTAAAGAGCCCTTGAGTCCTGAATGGTGAGCAGTGGTACCCATGTAGTACTCACCATGGTCTTTGAGTGAGGTTCAGAGACATGCTGGCTTCAGGTGTGACCCAACACATTCCCAACTGTGGTGGCTATAAGGTGGAACGCTGGTTTGAAAATGAAGGAGGAAAGAGTAAAGGGGACTCTTGCAGCTTAGGTACAAGCTTGGCCACAGTGGAGTAGGACACCAAGCAGGGTCTTGAAGTCACAAATTCTAGGATTTGTTTCTTGGATGGCATTTCTCGACATTCTGTGGGCCAGAAGGAATCCCACTGGTCTAAAGGGACAGTCTTAAACCTGGCAGAATTCACTGAAAGTTGACTGAAGATCTTTTGAGCCTTGAGTGAATATTGGTGGCAGCCAGGCAGTACTCACTGCAAGCCTGGGGCAGTGGTGGCCACAGGGAGAGACTCCTCTACTTGTGAAAAGGGGAGGGAAGAATGGGAAAAACTTTGTCTTGTGGTTTGGGTGTCAGCTCAGCTGTAGTAGAATAGAAACCTTAGGTAGATTCCTAAAGTTTCCAACTCTAGGTCCTGGTTCCCAGATGATATCTCTGGACTCAACAAAGACCTGGGAAAACTCACTGCTCTGAAGGTAAGGCTGGCTTCACAACCTGCTGATTGTAAAATCCTACAACCTTGAACAAACTCAGCCAGAGAATTCTTCAAGATCTTATCTATGACCATTAAGGCAGTATATCTACAAGTCTGCAGGAGCCACATCTTTACTGGGCTTGGGGTACCCCTCAGATAGATATAGCAGCAGTGACCAAAAACCTAGTTTATAATACTCAAGTCCCTTCAAATACCTGGAAAGTCTTCTTAAAACGGATAGGTACAAACAAGTCCAACTTGCAAAGACTATAATAAATACCTACCTTTTCACTGTCCAAACACTGATGAAAATCCACAAACATCAAGACCATCCAGGAAAACATGACCTCACCAACTGAACTAAATGGAGCACCAGTGATGAATCATGGAGAGACAGAGCTATGTGACCTTTCAGACAAAGAATTTGAAATAGCAGTTTTGAGAAAACTCAACAAAATTCAAGATAACACAGAGAAGGAATTCACAATCCTATCATATAAATTTAACAAAGAGATTGAAATACTTTAAAAAAATAAAGAAATTCTGGAGTAGAAAAATGCAATGGACATACTGAAGAATGCATTAGAGTCCCTTAACAAGAGAATTGACCAAGCCAAAGAAAGAATTAGTGAAGTTGAAGACAGGTTATTTGAAAATACACAGTTATAGGAAACAACAGGAAAAAGAATAAAAAAGAATGAACATGCCTAGGACATCTAGAAAATAACCTCAAGAAGGCAAATCTAAGCATTATTGGCTTTAAAGAGGTGGTAGAGAGAGAGATTGATACAGAAAATTCATCAAAGGCATATCAAAGAACTTCCCAAACATAGAGAATGATATCAACACTCAAGTACAAGAAGGTTATAAAACTCCAAACAGATTTAACATAAAGAAGAGTACCTCAAGGCATTTAATAATCAAACTCCCAAAGATCAAGGATAAAGAAAAAAATACTAAAAGCGTCAAGAGAAAAGAAGCAAATAACATACAATGGAGCACCAATACATTTGGCAGCAGACTTCTGAATGGAAATTTTACAGACCAGCCAGGAGACAGGCATGACATATTTAAAGTACTGAAGGGAAAAAAGCTTTTATACTAGAATAGTATAAACTTAAAGAGGAATAAACACTTTCCCAGGCAAACACAAGCTGATAGATTTCACCAACACCAGACCAGTCATACAAGAAATACTCAAGGGAGTTTTTCAGTCTGAAATAAAAGGATGTTAATGAGCAATAATGAATCCTCTGAAAGTGCAAAACTCACTGGTGATAGTAAGTATATAGAAAAACACAGAATATTATAACACTGTCACTGTGGTGTATAAACTACTCATATCTTGAGTAGAAAAACTAAAAGATGAACCAAGCAAAAATAATAACTACAGTTACTTTTAAAGATATAGACAGTAAAATAATATATAAATAGAAACAACAAAATGTCAAAAAGGGAGGGGGACAAAGCCAAAGCGTGGAAATTTTATTAGTTTTCTCTTTACTTGTTAGTTTGTTTATGCAATCAGTGTTAAGTTGTGATCAGTTTAAAATGGGTTATAAGACATCATTTGCAAGCCTCATGTAACCTCAAATTAAAAAACATACAACAAGAAATTAAAACAGACCATCAGAGAAAATCACCTTCACTAACAGGAAGACAGGAAGGAAGGAAAGAAGGGAGAGAAGACAACAAAGCAGTGAGAAAACAAAGAATAAAATGGCAGGAGTAAGACCTTACTTATCAATAATAATATTGAATATAAATGGACTAAAGTCTCCAATCAAAAAACAGAGTGATTGAATGGATTAAACAAACAACCAAACAAAACCAAAAAACAAGACCTAGGATCTGTTGCCTACAAAAAACACACTTCACTTATAAAGACATGTATAGACTGAAAACAAAGGGATGGAAAAAGGTTATTCATGCTAATGGAAACCAAAAAGGAGCAGGAGTGCTATACTTATATCAGACAAATTGATTTCAAGACAAAAACTATAAAAAGAAACAAAAAAGGTCATTATATAATGATAAAGGGGTCCATGTGGCAAGAGTATATAACAATTACAAACATATATGCACCCAACAATGGAGCACCAAGATATGTAAAGCAAATATTATTAGGGCTAAGGAGCGAGACAGACACTATGATGGTTAATACTGAATACCAACTTGATTGGATTGAAGGATGCAATATTGATCCTGGGTGTGTCTATGAGGGTGTTGCCAAAAGAAATTAACATTTGAGTCAGTGGGCTGGGGAAGGCGGACGCATACTTAATCAGGTGGACACTATCTAATCAGCCTCCAGCAAATATAAAGCAGGTGGAAAAACTTGAAGAGATGAGACTGACCTAGCCTCTCATCCTACATCTTTCTCCCATGCTGGATGCTTCCTGCCCTCTAACCTCAGACTCTGAGTGCTTCAGTCTTGGGACTTGGACTGGCTCTCCTTGCTCCTCAGCTTGCAGACACCCTAGTATGGGACTTTGTGATGGTGTAAGTTAACACTTAATAAACTCCCCTTTACATATATATATATATATGTCTTATTAGTTCTGTCCCTCTAAGAGAACCCTGACTAATACAGACCCCAGTACAATAATAACTAGAGACTTCAACACCCCACTTTAAGCATTAGACAGATCTTCCAGACAGAAAGTCAAAACAGGAACATTGGACTTAATCTGCACCATAGACCAAATGAATATAGTAGATATTTAAAGAACATTTCATCCAGTGGCTACAGAATACTCTTCTCAGCCCATGGATCATTCTCAAGGATAGAACATACGTTAGGCACAAAACAAATCTTAAAAATGTTTAACAAATTGAAATTACATTAAGTATCGTTGCTGATCATGATGAAATAATACTAGAAATTAATAATGAAAAGAATTTTTGAAACTATACAAATATATAGAAATTAAACACTATGCTTATGAATGACCAGTGGGTAAATGAAGAAATTAACAATGAAGTTGAAAATTTCCTTGAAACAAATGATAATGGAAACACAACATTGGAAACAAAACCTGTGGGATACAGCAAAAGCAGTGCTAAGAGGAAAGTTTATAGCTTTAAGCACCTATATCAAATTGGTAGAAAAACTTCAAATAAACAACCTAATGATGAATCTTAAATAAATAGAAAAACAAGAGCACACCAAACCCCAAATTTGTAGAAAAAAGTGATTGTAAAGATCATAGCAGAAATAAATGAAATTTAAATGAAGAAAATAATACAGATCAACAAAATTAAAAATTATTTTTTAAAAGATGAAATTGACAAACTTTTAGCCAGACCAACTAAGACAAAAAAAGAGGAGACCAAATGAGTAAAATTGGATATGAAAAAGGAGACATTACAATCAATACTGCAGAAATTCAAAGTATCATTAGAGTCTACTGTGAGCAACTATATGCCAATAATTTGGAAAACTAGAATAAATGAGTACATTTTATACACATACAACCAACCAAGATTGAGTCATGAAGAAATAATAAAAACTGAACAAATGAACAACGATTAACAAGATCAAAGCTGTAAGAAAAAGCCTCCCAGTAAAGAAAAGGCTGGGACCTGATGGCTTCACTGCTGAATTTTACCAAACATTTAAAGGAAAACAAATACCAATCCTACCCAAACTATTTCAAAAAATAGAGGAGAAAAGAATGCTTCTAAATTCATTCTGTGAGGCCAGTATTACCCTGGTACCAAAATTAGACAAAGAAACTTCAAAAGAAAAAAAAAACTATAGGCCAAGATCCTGATAAACATTGATGCAAAAATCCTCAACAAAATACTAGAAAACCAAATTCAACAACACATTAAAAAGGTCATTCATCATGACCAAGTGGGATTTATCTCAGGGATGCAAGGATGGTTCAACATATACAATCAATGTGATATATATAGATAGAATGGAGGACAAAAACCATATGATCATATCACTTGATGCTGAAAAAGCCTTTGATAAAATTAGACATCTCTTCATAGTGAAAATAAAACCTTGAAAAACTGGGTACAAAAGGAACACACCTCAACACATAAAAGCTATGCAGAGCCGACCCACAGCTGGTATCATACTTAATGGGGAAAAACTGAAAGCCTTTTCTCTAAGATCTGGAACATGACAAAGATTCCCACTTTCATTACTGTGATTTAACATAGTCCTAACTAGAACAATCAGACAAGAGAAAGAAATAAAAGGCATCCAAATTGAAAAAGAAAAAGTCAAATTTTCCTTGTTTGCAGATGATATGATCTTATATTTGGAAAAACCTAAAAGACTCCACTGAAAAATTATTAGAACTGATAAACAAATTCGGTAAAGTTGCAGGATACAAAATCAACTTACAGAAATCAGTAGCATTTGTGTATGCCCACAGCAAACAATCTGAAAAAGAAACCAGGAAAGCAATTCCATTTATAATAGATACAAATAAAATTAAATACCTAGGAAAAAACTTAACCAAATAAATGAAGAACGTGCAATGAAAACAATAAAACACTGGTGAAAGAAATTGAAATAGTCACCAAAAAATGGAAAGATATTCCATGTTTATGGATTGAAAGAGTCAATATTATTAAAATGCCCATACTATCCAAAGCAATGGCATTCTTCACAGAAAGAAAAAACAATCCTAAAGTTTATATTTATATTTAAATATAAACTTAACCCTTTAAGTTTATATTCTGGAATCAGAATAGACCCAGAATAGTCAAAACTGTCCTAAGGAAAAAGAATAAAACTGGAGGAATCATGTTACCTGACTTCAAATCACACTACGGAGATATAGTAACCAAAATAGTATGTTACTGGCATACAAACAGACACATGGCCAACGGAACAGAACAGACAACCCAGAAACCAATCCATACATTTACAGTGAACTCATTTTTTACAAAGGTGCTGTATTAGTCCATTCTCAGACTGCTATAAAGAACTGCGCGAGACTGGGTATATTATAAAGCAAAGAGGTTTTAATCGACTCACAGTTCCCCAGGTCTGGGGAGGCCTCAAGAAATTACAATCATGGTGGAAGGGCAAGCAAACACATCCATCTTTACATGGTAGCAGGAAGGAGAAGAATGAGAGCCAAGTGAAGGGTAGGCCCCATATTTCTACCATTAGGTCTCTTGAGAACTTACTCACTATCACAAGAATAGCATGGAGGAAACCATCCCCATGATTCAATTACCTCGCACCGGGTCCCTCTCACCACACGTGGAGATTATGGGAACTACAACTTAAGATTTGAGTGGGAACACAGCCAAACCATATCATGTGCCAAGAACATACATTGGAGAAAGGACAATCTCTTCAATAAATGGTGCTGAGAAAACTGGATATTATTATGCAGAAGAATGATATTGGACTCCTATCTCTAGTCATATAAGAAATCAAATCAGCCTAGCATGTTGGCTCATGCCTGTAATCCCAGCACTTCGGGAGGCCAAGGTGGGCAGATCACCTGAGGTCAGGAGCTCGAGATCAGCCTGACCAACATGGCGAAACCCCATCTCTACTAAAAATACAAAAATTAGCCGGGTGTGGTGGCGGGCGCCTGTAGTCGCAGCTACTGGGGAGGCTGAAGCAGGAGAATCTCTTGAACCCGGGAGGCGGAGCTTGTAGTGAGCCGAGATCGCGCCGCTGCACTCCAGGCTGGGTGGCAAAGTGAGACTCTGTCTCAAACAACAACAACAACAAAAATTAAATTAAAATTGATTAAAAACTCAAATCTAAGAACAAAAACTATGAAATTACTTAAAAAAAAAAAAAAAACTGGGGAATCAATCTCTCCAGGACATTAGACTGGGCAAAGATTTTTTTCTCAGTGCTGGGAAGAGTATTGGGTTGGGGGAGGGGAAGTAGGAATGGTTAACGGTACAAAAATATAGTTACATAGAATGAATAAGATCTAGTGTTTCATTGCACAACAGGATGGCTACAGGGAACAATAATTTATTGTACATTTAAAAATGATTAAAATAATATAATTGGATTGTTTGTAAGCCAAAGAAAGCGTAAGTGCTTAAGGCAATGTATACCCCATTTACTCTGTTGTGATTATAAAGCATGGTATGCCTGTATCAAAATAAGTCATGCATCTTATAAATATACACACCTACTATGTACCCGCAATTTCTTAAATTAAAATAATAAACAAATGTATAATAACTGCTCTCTTTTTCCCCTTAGAAATGCGTTTCTTCTGCATTTCCTATTAAAATTAATGGAATTAAATAAAAAGGAGGCAAAAAAGGTAACAAAGGTAACAATAATTCTGTGCCTTGCTAAGTGTGAGATGTTGTGAAATATCTCTCTGCCTAATATTTTTATTCTGGTGATTGACTGTTATGATTAGAGATTAGAAGGCATTTTTCAATAATAGTTGTCATTTGTTGAAGACTCCCTTACACCACAAGCTAGGGACTCTACGTGAATCATTCGAAGTGCTCTTAACTGGGTTTTATTATTCTCATAGAGTGGATAATGGACCTAGAGACCAGAGAGTTTAAGTAGTTTCTTCATGTCTAACAGCTTGTTAGTGGCAAGCTTTGGAATCAGACAGCTTGGTTTTCATTTAAATTATAATTTCATGTTCTAGCCATGACATTTATATTTTCTTAGAAACTGCATGCCCTGAATGCACCCTGTTCTTTTATGTTGTCCAAAAATATGTGTACATTGATAATTTCTGAAATCAGAAAATGAAAAGAAAAAATTTCTACTCCCCAGAAATACTATTTTGTACAACTTAAGCATAGGACTATTCATATTTTATACAAATTTCTTTTCCTCTATAAATTGTTTTTCTGTTGAGAAATTTGTGCCATAATCATAGATAAAATTAATCACACCATTTTGAGTTAATTATTGCATTAACCACCTACATTTCTACCTTTATTTCTGTAAGAATTGGATGCTACTCTTATTTACACTTTTTACATTCTCACCTCTCTTGGATTTTTGAGACATAATATTCTAGTATTGCGCATTAACAACTATAAAAATCTGCAGAAACAAAACACATAATAGATCACAAAACAATGAAACCAGAGGCATAGATGACTTTTCACAAGTGCCTATGTCACTTCTAGTGGTAAAACCAAGCTGAGTTGGTCTTGCTTTAAAGAGTATCTTTGTTCCAGTTTATGAAATTGATATGCTAAAAGTTCATTTACTGAATTATTTCTGGATACATGATAATTTTATTTTCTATGTACATGTATTTTTATGTGATGGGTATTGTGATTATTCCTTCCTCCTCTTCTTTCCTTTCCTCTTCTACTGCCTCTTTTTTTTTAATTTTCTAAAAGCAATATCTCAGGTTTAATGTACTTGATTGGTTTGCCATTGCCTAGATGAGTAACAATCTAAACATTTTTAAGCAGGTACTCATCAGTAAAATATGTAAGCATGTATCCCCAATTTACGCATTTTTATTTGCAAATAATATACAAGGACTTCTGCACTAATATATTCTGTATATTATCAAATATACAGAAAATAAAACATTTAAAAGTTGATAAGCTATATGAAAATAAGTTATCACATTTGCTTTCCACATTTCAAAAAATTTATTTCTCATTTCACTTTGGCTCAGAACATAATGTATAATCTCTGAACTCTAGCTTTCATGGTCTAATGTAAAATAATGATACCAAAATAATGCCCTAACTCTACCTCCTATTCATCATTTATCATTCCAGGCAGACATGTTTTTCTTTGCATGGGCTTTGACCTGGGAAAGGGAGTAAAGTGACAACAGTCAGTGTGAACTTGAGCGTCAATAACTCTTGAATAATAGAACATTTGGCAAATATCTCTTAGAACATTTTAAAGTATAAAAATGTTTCCCGTGCTTTGACTAAACAGCCAGGACCTAAAGGATATGTATCATAAATAAAGGGTACACTTGTGTTTTGTTTTTTTTTCAAACAATTCAGAGTAATTTTTACATCCGCTGACACCAACACAATTTAACAAAAGTTTCTTAGGAAGGCAGGAAATGACCTCATTAAGCAATCTTTGGAAAAGCAATTTCCTTATACTTTCCTACCAGATGAAAAATGTGATTAATGGAACATCAGAATATTTCAAGTGAATAGCTTATTTTACATTCTTTAAAATTAAAAAAAAGCAATAACTAATATGAATTAGCTTTTTCTATAGATGTCATAAAAAGTAGGTAAAATGTTGCCCATAGATGCCTTAAGTACTCTGACTTTCTACATAAAGACACATTTGTCTGAAAATAGAATAAACTTTAAGAAGAAGGTATTTCAAAAAAAGATCCTCCTTTGTGGTAAGTGCCAACAAAGAACACATTTTACATTAATTGGTTGTCTCAGTCCAAACCATCTGTCTCTCCAAATGTAATGAATGCTGGCATTCTTATTGGTATGTACTCAATAGTTCAAATTGGCCTGAAATAAACCCTGCTCAAAATCTTGTTACAGTACCAGCTTGTGAGTTATGGTATGAATGTCAAGTTTCCTTTTATCAGGGTCTCTCCCATTGAAAAATTTGAGTTTCATTCCATGTGTTGAGAGCATGGGCTTCACAGAGAGGCATTTTCTATTTGCATAGTTGTATTATGCATTGTTCTCACATTATATAACTCATGTATATGTATATGATATTACATAATGTAGCTGTTTAGCATTTTATATATGAAATTTAATTTTATGCATACCTTTTAATGGAGAGTGTCCCTGGTTTCTGGCAATTTTGTCACATATGTACAGAATCATCATTAGCTCCAGATGAGAAAATTATTCTCATATAACAGATGAGAAAATTAAGGCTTAGGTGCACTGTTTGGTTTAGCCCATGACTATTTCTCCTGTGATACTCTTTTTATTCGTCCTGTTGGCATCGACTGTCTGATCATTTCATATAGGCCAAACTCCTTCCCACCCTAGATCTCTGTAATTTATGAAAAAGGGAAAAGGGAGAGAAAAGTTTCTCCAAGCTCCCTCTCTAGAGAGTGCTATGAGGCTCATCTTAAATATCCCATCACCACAAAAATCATTCCTTCTCTCAGACCAGGTTAGATTCTTTCTATGTGCTCTCATGGATACTTATTTTTTCTTTTAAAAATAATATCATAGGCCGGGTGCAGTGGCTCACGCTCTAATCCCAGCACTTTAGGAGGCTGAGGTGGGCGGAACACAAGGTCAGGAGCTCAAGACCAGCCTGGCCAACATGGTGAAACCCCATCTCTTCTAAAAATACAAAAATTAGCTGGACGTGGTGGTGCACGCCTGTAGTCCCAGCTACTGGGGAGGTTGAGGCTGGAGAATCACTTGAACCCAGGAGGCAGAGGTTGTAGTGAGCCAAGATGGCGCCATTGCACTCTAGCCTAGTAACAGAGTGAGACTCCATCTAAAAAAAGAAAAAATTATGATTAAAATTATAAATATAAAAATATGCTCCCCCAATAGAAAGTAAACTCCAGGATGAAAAGCAGAGACTTTGTCTATTTTTCTGGTTAAATTCAGCAATGATATTCAATTCTTAACACTGATTGAAAAGCTGATTATCAGATGCCATACTAGTAGCACAATCATAATCATGGACTGAGAAATATGAAGCTTTCTCTCAGTAGTCTTTTCTGTGCTAAAAGACAAATGGAAAACATAAAAGTACTAATTTCAACCAATACTGTCATCTATTGTGGAACTTGTGAGGAGGTTTTGGAATTAGATAGGTTTGAGATTGGTTGGTAGCTCATCCAGACTCTGGGGGTAACATTAGACCTGTCACTCTGTTAACTCTGTAACTATTAATATCATCTTATTAGAAATATCTATTTAGATGCTTTGAGAATTTTTCAATTATTTGGAAATGGTTAGGCATACATGCCTAATAATACAGTCATTTGACAGATAATAACTTCCCTCACTCCCTTGTCTCCAACAAGATAGCTCATGAGGTTAAATGTAAAAAGCCTAGATTGTGGACAGCAATCATTGATATGGCTGGAATTACAAAATGAGGTTTGGGAGAAACCTTAAAAAATGAGTGATTGTTTTAATTCGTAGTTAAGACATAATTGCAGTGAATTAAAAAAACATGGGTTACTTGATCACTTTCCTGAAAGAACAGAAGAAAATCCACCCAACATACCAAAGTCTAAAGCTGAAGACCAAGAGGCTAACTTTGTAGAGCTACCTATGATTTGGTTAAACTATCTCCACCCAGGGATTGTTTAGGAGATCTGAATCCTTTGCTGTCTAGATCACTGCTACCATTCTGTTAATAAAAAGAAGAACTAGCAGAGGGGATTTTGGTCTTTGGTGGAGGAGAAGCCTCTTAAGGAAGAGGCTATACCTTCACCATGTGCCATTTGCTGAATTCAATTCTGTGATCTAATGGGAAACAAAATAAACAGATATGGGTCCTATCATCCGAGAATTTATAGTTGATTTAAGTTAAACAAATTACATGTGATTGTCTGATCAATGCCTATGAGAAATAGGCACGTGATTATCTGATCAATGCCTATGAGAAATCGAGGCAGATATGAATGTGCACAGTATGAGAACCAGACGTGGTCTGGAAGCTCAGGGCATTTCAGAAGCAATTAGAATCAAAAGACGTTCTCTATATGAAAAGTAAAGAGGAATAGGGGGCATTTTAGACTGAGGAAACAGTAAATGTAAAGGTTTTGAGATTGGAGGGAGCATAACACAAAAGCATATAAAGCCTCATTCATCTTCCAGTCACCGTACATATATTATCTCATTTAATCTTCACATCTACCCTACGAAATAGGTACTGTTGTATTCCCTAGGGTCAAATATGAAGACAAGTGCTTAGTGAGAATGACTGACTTTCCCAAGGTGTCACAGCCACTGAATTCATATCTCACATTTCTTGATTGAAATCAAACTCAATCTCAATTAAAATGCAGAGTTTATTAGCAGTTTAGCATGAAAATTAGATAAATTGATACACTTTAAGCATCTAGATGAATCAATTGATTCTGTATGTGGAAATTCCAAATTAATGTCTAAATAGTTTTGGCCCATTATTTATTGGTAGAATGAATATTAAGTGATGGTATTAAAATTAGCCAGCATCCTACACTTTCCTTGCAAGCAGAGACTAGCTTTGAAATTATTTAAGAAGGCTGACAGATGCTTCCAAATTATCCAACCTGTTTTAAGTAGAGAAAAATAGATAACACATTCCATTTTTTTCACTTCTACATTTAAATGTTTAAAGCTCATTCTAAAATTGACTACAAAATATCTACCTTTGAATATTGAGCTATTTATTGCAAAATGCCATACTAGCACATATGGTTTATAGCAAGTAGCCTTTTCTTCTACCCAAAAGAACAGAGGTGAAGTGGACTAGATTCACAGTGACAATCTTCATGATTTCTATATATGTTCTTATGCTTGACAGCTTCTCAGATAATATTATGCCATAGGAAAGTTTTCAGTTATCAGGCCTATATGATTTATCTAAGAGCTGAAAAATATGTAGGCAGAAAAAAATATGGGAATGTTTACCTATCAAAATAATAGATTACTTTTTTTCCATGTATTCAGAAGAGATGAGTGACTTTGAGTCTCATTAGATTGACAACTTCTTTTGCAACATTTCATGGTGAACTATTGTGTTTCTCTTTAAAGACTGAAAAAATGTTTCCAAATCTTCAGGAACAGAAAACTAAATATGACATAGATTGTTTTCCATGCTGCTACCAACAAACATTTCATGCTTTGTGCTCCCCTAAAGTCATGCCCAATCATGTTTTAGACAGGTTTCTGGGAAAACCACACTAAAGCCTAGCTCTATTACCAGATACTGTAGTCCCTAAGGAGAGGCCAGTGGCAGGACACTACATATTGCATTATTTGTGTAAGGCTGAAATATATATTATAAAACATCTGGGTAGACTTTTGAAAAAGTCATGGTCATCATTTTCCAAAGCCTCCAAAGACAAGATGTCAGCCATGATGATTAAAATTCTATTTAAATCATAAATGTTTGTTGGATTTTTAAAATACTTTTAATTCATAGTGTGGCACATTCTAAGGGAATTTTAAAATCTTTCTATATACAAGGTGATGTGGTTTGGCCATGTCCTCACCCTAATCTCATTTTGAACTCCCACCTGCTGTGGGAGTGACCCAGGGCAAGTTTTTTTCCATGCTGTTATCATGATAGTTAGTAAGCCTCACCAGATTTGATGGTTTTATAAACAGGAGTTTGCCAGCACAAGCTCTCTCTCTTTGCCTGCTGACATCCATGTAGGATGTGACTTGCTCCTCCTTGCCTTCCACTGTGATTGTGAGGCCTCCCCAAGCATGTGGAACTGTGAGTCCAATTAAAACTTTTTCTTTTGTAAATTGCCCAGTCTCGAGTATGTCTTTATCAGCAGCATAAAAACAAACTAATACAGTAAATTGATACCAGTGGAGTGGGGCACTGCTGAAAAGATACCCAAAAATCTGAAAGTGATTTTGGAACTGGGTAACAGGCAGAGGTTGGAACAGTTTGGAGGGCTCAGAGGAAGATAGGAAAATTTGGGAAAGTTTGGAACTCCCTAGAGACTTGTTGAATGGTTTTGACCAAAATGCTGAAAATGATATGGACAAAGAATTTCAGGCTAAGGTGGTCTGAGAGAGAGATGAGGAACTTATTGGGAACTGGAGCAAAGGTGACTCTTGTTATGTTTTAGCAAAGAGACTTGAGGCATTTTGCCCCTGCCCTAGAGATTTGTGGAACTTTGAACTTGAGAGAGATGATTTAGGGTATCTGGCAGAAGAAATTTCTAAGCAGCAAAGCATTCAAGAGGTGACTTGGGTGCTGTTAAAGGCATATTTATTTATTTATTTATTTATTTATGTATTTATTTGAGACGGAGTCTCACTCTGTTGCCCAGGCTGGAGTGCAGTGGCACAATCTCGGCTCACTGCAAGCTCCACCTCCCGGTTTTATGCCATTCTCCTGCCTCTGCCTCCCAAGTAGCTGGGACTACAGGCGCCCACCACCATGCCTGGTTAATTTTTTTTGTATTTTTAGTAGAGACGAGGTTTCCCCGTGTTAGCCAGGATGATCTCGATCTCCTGACCTCGTGATCTGCCCGCCTCGGCCTCCCAAAGTGCTGGGATTACAGGCGTGAGCCACCATAAGCCACCGCGCCCCGACGGCATTCAGTTTTAAAAGGAACACAGAGCACAGAAGTTTGGAAAATTTGCAGCCTCACAATACAATAGAAAAGAAAATCCCATTTTCTGAGGAGAAATTCAAGCTGGCTGCAGAAACTTGCATAAGTAACGAGGAGCCCAATGTTAATCCCCAAGACAATGGGGAAAATGTCTTCACGGCAGGTCAGAGGTCTTCACAGCAGACCCTCCCATCACACGCCCAGAGGCCTAGGAAGAAAAATGGTTTCGTGGGCCCAGTCCAAGGTCCCTGTGCTGGGACTTGGTGTTCTGCATCCCAGCCTCTCCAGCCTTGACTAAAAGGGGCTGAGGTACAGCTCAGGACATGGCTTCAGAGGATGGAAGCCCCAAGCATTGGTAGCTTCCACATGGTGTTGAGCCTCAGAGTGCACAGAAGTCAAGAACTGAGATTTGGGAACCTCCACCTAAATTTCAGGAGATGTATGGAAATGCCTAGATGCTCAGGCAGGAAATTTGCTCTAGGGACAGGGTCCTCATGGAGAACCCCTGCTAGGGCAGTGCAGGAGAGAAATGTGGGGTGGTGCTCCCACACAGAGTCCCTACTGGGGCACCACCTAGCGAAGCTGTGAGAAGACCACTGTCAGGCCTCTGAGCCCAAGCCAAGCCATCGCATCCCCTGTGACTTGCATGTATACGCCCAGATGGCCTGAAGTAACTGAAGAATCACAAAAGAAGTGAAAAGGCCCTGCCCCGCCTTAACTGATGACATTCCGCCATTGTGATTTGTTCCTGCCCCACCTTAACTGAGTGATTAACCCTGTGAATTTCCTTCTCCTGGCTCAGAAGCTCCCCCACTGAGCACCTTGTGATCCCTGCCCCTGCCCACCAGAGAACAAACCCCCTTTGACTGTAATTTTCCATTACCTTCCCAAATCCTGTAAAACAGCCCCACCCCTATCTCCCTTTGCTGACTCTCTTTTCGGACTCAGCCCACCTGCACCCAGGTGAAATAAACAGCCATGTTGCTCACACAAAGCCTGTTTGGTGGTCTCTTCACACGGACGCACATGAAAACCACTGTCCTCCAGATCCCAGAACGGTAGATCCACTGACAGCTTGCACCGTGCTCCTGGAAAAGCCTGAGACACTCAACATGAGCCCACGAAGGCAGCCGGGAGGGAGGCTGTACCCTGCAAAGCCACAGGGGTGGAGCTGCCCAAGACTGTGGGAACCCACCTCTTGCATCAGCTTGAACTGAATATGAGAGGTGGAGTCAAAGGAGATCATTTTGGAGCTTTAAGATTGACTGCCTCACTGGATTTCGGACTTGCATAAGGCCTATAGCCCCTTTGTTTTGGCCAATTTCTCCTGTTTGGAATGACTATATTTACCCAATGCCTGTAGTGTCTAGGAAGTAACTAACTTGCTTTTGATTTTACAGGCTCATAGGCAGAAGGGACTTGCCTTCTCTCAGATGAGACTTTGGACTGTATACTTTTGAGTTAATGCTGAAATAAGTTAAGGCTTTTGGGGGACTGTTGGGAAGGCAAGATTGGTTTTGAAATGTGAGGCCATGAGATTTGGGAGGGTCCAGGAGAAGAATGTTATGGTTTGGCTGTGTCTCCACCCTAATCTCATTCTTGAATTCCCCTCTTGTGTTGTGGGAGGGACCCAATGGGAGGTAATTGAATCATGGGGGCGTGCATGTCTTTTCTCTGCTGTCCTCACTATAGTGAATAAGTCTCACGAGATCTGATGGTTTTATAAAGAGGAGTTCCCCTGCACAAGCTCTCTCTTTGCCTGCCGCCATTTGCATAGGATGTGACTTGCTCTTCCTTGCCTTCCACCATGATTGTGAGGCCTCCTCAGCCACATGGAACTGTAAGTCCAATTAAACGTCTTTCTTTTGTAAATTGCTTAGTCTCAGTCTCAGGTAATTTCATGCGCGTCCGTGTGAAAAGACCACCAAACAGGCTTTGTGTGAGCAACATGGCTGTTTATTTCACCTGGGTGCAGGCGGGCTGAGTCCGAAAAGAGAGTCAGCGAAGGGAGATAGGGGTGGGGCCGTTTTATAGGATTTGGGTAGGTAAAGGAAAATTACAGTCAAAGGGGGTTTGTTCTCTAGCGGGCAGGAGTGGGGGTCACAAGGTGCTCAGTGGGGGTGTTTTTTGAGCCAGGATGAGCCAGGAAAAGGACTTTCACAAGGTAACGTCATCACTTAAGGCAAGGACTGGCCATTTACACTTCTTTTGTGGTGGAATGTCATCAGTTAAGGTGGGGCAGGGCATATTCACTTCTTTTGTGATTCTTCAGTTACTTCAGGCCATCTGGGCGTATAGGTGCAAGTCACAGGGGATGCGATGGCTTGGCTTGGGCTCAGAGGCCTGACATTCCTGCCTTCTTATATTAATAAGAAAAATAAAACAAAATAGTGTTGAAGTGTTGGGTCAGCGAAAATTTTTGGGGGGTGATATGGAGAGAGAATGGGCGATGTTTCTCAGGGCTGCTTCAAGCGGGATTGGGGTGGCGTGGGAACCTAGAGTGGGAGAGATTAAGCTGAAGGGAGATCTTGTGGTAAGGGGCGATGTTGTGGGGATGTTAGAAGAAACATTTGTCGTATAGAATGATTGGTGATGGCCTGGATACGGTTTTGGATGAATTGAGAAACTAAATGGAATAACAGAAGGAGAAAAACAGGTATAAAAGGTCTAAGAATTGGGATGACTCAGGATATCTGATTAGAGAGTGCCTAAGGAGATTCAGCATAGTCCTGCCAGCAAAGATTATTTATTTACTTCAAGAGTTAACAGTGGCAGTTTGGGGATAGCACCAGGAGATATCAGCTGTGATGGCTTGGAAAAACAGTGTAAACCGGCAGTGTAAACAAGAGCAGGGCATGTATGAGTAGTTGAGAACGGTGAATAGGAGTATGACTAGACAGAAGATAGTAGGGAAGACAAGTTTTTTTGGGGCACAGTCTAAGTTGGTCTGGTGTCTGGAATGAGACTGGGACCTAATAAAAAGGAGCGTCTATACAGGAGCTTAAATGGGCTGTACCCTGTAGCATTCCGAGGACAGGCCTGAATTCTGAGAAGGGAAAGTGGTAAAAGTATTGTCCAGTCCTTTTTAAGTTGGCGGCTGAGCTTGGTAAGGTGTGTTTTTAAAAGACCTTTAGTCCACTCTACTTTTCTTGAAGATGGAGGACCATAAGGGATATAAAGGTTTCACTGAATACTAAGAGCCTGAAAAACTGCTTGGCTGATTTGACTAATAAAGGCTCATCTGTTATCAGACTGTATTGAGGTGGGAAGGCTAAACTGAGGAATTATGTCTAACAGAACGGAAGAAATGACTGCGGTGGCCTTCTCAGACCCTGTAGGAAAGGCCTGTACCTATCCAGTGAAAGTGTCTACCTAGACTAAGAGGTATTTTAGTTATCTGACTCAGGGCATGTTGAGTAAAGCTAATTTGCCAGTCCTGGGTGGGGCAAATCCTCGAGCTTGATGTGTAGGGAAGGGAGGGGCCTGAATAATCCCTGAGGAGTAGTAGAATAGCAGAATGGAACACCGAGAAGTTATTTCCTTGAGGATAGATTTCCACGATGGAAAGGAAATGAGAGGTTCTAAGAGGCGGGCTAGTGGCTTGTACTATAGCATAACCTGCCTTTGCTGGTGAGTGGCGATTAGGCCTGGTGGAACTGCCATCAATAAATCAAGCGTGATGAGGTTGAGGAACAGGAAAGAAGGAAATTTGGGGAAATGGGGTGAATGTCAGGTGGATCAGAGAGATACAGTCATGGGGGTCAGGTGTGGTATCAGGAATAATGTGGGAGGCTGGATTGAAGTCCCGGTCAGGAACAATGGTAATTGTGGGACTTAAAGAGTGAGTACAGCTGAAGGAGCCGGGGAGCAGAAAGTATATGCATCAGGTGTGAGGAAGAAAATAGATTTTGGAAGTTATGAGAACTGTAGAGAGTGAGTTGAGCACAGTTTGTGATTTTGAGGGCCTCTAAAAGTATTAAAGCAGTGGCAGCCGCTGCACGCAGACATGAGGGCTAGGCTAAAACAGTAAGGTCAAGTTGTTTGGACAGAAAGGCTACAGGGTGTGGTGCTGGCTCTTGTGTAAGAGTTCTGACCACACTAACCATGTTTAGGAAGGAAAGGAGTTGTTGTTTTGTAGAAGGTGCTTGGGTTTGAGAGATCAGTCAGACACGATTGGCAGGGAGAGCACGTGTGTTTTTATGAGAATTATGCCAAGATAGGTAACAGATGAGGAAGAAATTTGGGCTTGATTGAAGTAATGGGGGCTGTCTGTGAAGCTTTGTGGCAGTACAGCCTAGGTAATTTGCTGAGCTTGATGGGTGTCAGGGTCAGTCCAAGTGAAAGCGAAGAGAGGCTGGGATTAAGGGTGCAAAGGAATAGTAAAGAAAGCATGTTTGAGATCCAGAACAGAATAATGGGTAGTAGAGGCAGGTATTGAGGATAGGAGAGTATGTGGGTTTGGCACCATGCGGTGGATAGGCAAAACAATTTGGTTGATAAGGCGCAGATCCTGAACTAAATTGTAAGGCTTGTCTGGTTTTAGGACAGGTAAAATGGGGGAATTGTAAGGAGAGTTTATAGGTTTTAAAAGGCCATGCTGTAGCAGGCGAGTGATAACAGGCTTTAATCTTTTTAAAGCATGCTGCGGGATGGGATATTGGCATTGAGTGGGGTAAGGGTGATTAGGTTTTAATGAGATTGTAAGGGGTGCATGATCGGTCGCCAAGGAGGGAGTAGAGGTATCTTATACTTGTGGGTTAAGGTGGGGGGATACAAGAGGAGGACGCAAAGGAGGCTTTGGATTGGGAAGAAGGGCGGCAATGAGACACAGGTGTAGTCCAGGAATAGTCAGGGAAGCAGATAATTTAGTTAAAGTGTCTCAGCCTAATAAGGGAACTGGGCAGGTGGGGATAACTAAAAAGGAGTGCTTAAAAGAGTATTGTCTAAGTTAGCACCAGAGTTGGGGAGTTTTAAGAGGTTTAGAAGCCTGGCCATCAATACCCACAACAGTTATGGAGGCAAGGGAAACAGGCCCTTGAAAAGAAGGTAATGTGGAGTGGGTAGCCTCCGTATTGATTAAGAAGGGGACGGGCTTACCTTCCACTGTGAGAGTTACCCGAAGCTCGGCGTCTATGATGGTCTGGGGGCTTCCAAGGCAATCGGGCAGTGTCAGTCTTCAGCCGCTAAGCCGAGAAGACCTGGGAAGGAGTCAGAGAGCCTTGGGCCAGAGTTCCAGGGGCTCTGGGAGTGGCTGCCAGGTGAGTTGAACAGTCCAATTTTCAGTGGGGTCACACACAGATGGGACGCGGCTTAGGAGGAATCCCAGGCTGCGGGCATTCCTTGGCCCAGTGGCCAGATTTCCGGCACGTGTAGCAAGCTCCTAGGGGAGGAGGTTCTGGAGGAATGCCTGGCCACTGCGGTTCAGGAGTTTGGAAGTTCTTGTGTGCTGGAGATGTGGCTGGGGTTTGTCTCACAGTGGAGGCAAGGAATTGCAACTTTTTTCTGTTATTGTACACCTTGAAGGTGAGGTTAATTAAATCCTGTTGTGGGGTTTGAGGGCCGGAATTTAATTTTTGGAGTTTTATTTAATGTCGGGAGCAGATTGGGTAATAAAATGTATTCTGAGAATAAGACGGCCTTTTGACCTTTTAGGGTCTAGGGCTGTAAAGTGTCTCAGGGTTGCTGCCAAACAAGTCATGAACTGGGCTGGATTTTTATATTTGATGAAAAATAACCTAAACGCTTCTGATTTGGGATAAAGAAAAAGGAGCATTAACCTTGACTATGCCTTTAGCTCCAGCCACCTTTTTAAGAGGAAATTGCTGGGCAGGAGGGGGAGGGCTAGTCATGGAATGAAACTGTAAGCCTGACCAGGTGTGAGGAGGGGAGGTGATAAAAGGATTGTAGGGTGGAGGAGCAGAGGCTGAGGAAGAATTGGGACCTAGCTCGGCCTGGGGAGGAGCAGCCTGGGGAGGAAGGGAGAGGTCAGATGGGTCTGTAGAAAAGGAAGATTAGAAAGACTCAGGGACACTTGGGGTTGGTACTGAGGGGACAGGCGGGAGGGAAAGGAGGAAGATTTGGGACGAGTTGCACTGGGCACAGAGACTAGGAAGGGATTGATGTGTAAAAGAATGCCTGGACGTCAGGCACCTAAGACCGTTTGCCTATTTTACAACAAGAATTATTTAGATCTTGCAGGATGGAAAAATTCAAAGTGCCATTTTCTGGCTATTTGGAACTGCTGTCGAGTTTGTATTGGGGTCAAGCGGCATTGCAGAAGAAAATAAGGCATTTAGGTTTTAAGTCAGGTGTGAGTTGAAGAGGTTTTAAGTTTTTGAGAACACAGGCCAAGGGAGTAGAAGGAGGAATGGAGGGTGGAAGGTTCCCATAGTGAAGGAAGCAAGCCTAGAGAAAAGAGAGAGTAGAGAAATGGAGGGAAGTGGTTCGGGGGTTCTTACCTTCCAGAAAAGTGGGAAAAGGGGTTGGGGCACAGAGATAAGAGGTCGGGGCATGGAAATAAGGGATGGGGTGCAGAAATAAGAGGTCGGGGCTCAGAAATAAGAGGTCGGGGCTCAGAAATAAGGGATTGGGGCGCAGAGATATGACGTTGGGGCGTGGAATTAAGGGATTGGGGTGCAGAGATATAAGAGGTTGGGGTGCGGAAATAAGGGATTGGGGTGCAGAGATATGAGGTTGGGGTACTTGCCCCTCTAGAAAAGTGGGACTTGCTGCTAAGAGTGAAGGAGAAGGGGTTGAGGGGTACTTGCCCCTCTCCCAGAAAAGCAGAGAAGGGGTAGAGACAAGTAGAGAAGGGGTTGGGGTACTTGCCCTGTCCCCGGAAAAGCAGAGAAGGGGTAGAGACAAGGAGAGAAGGGCTTGGGGTACTTGCTCTGTCCCTGGAAAAGCAGAGAAGGGGTAGAGACAAGGAGAGAAGGGCTTGGGGTACTTGCCCTGTCCCCGAAAAAGCAGAGAAGGGGTAGAGACAAAGAGAGATGGGGTTGGGGTACTTGCCCCTTCCCCAGAAAAGCAGGACTTGCTGCTAAGGGTGAAGGACCAAGGCAGGCGTCCCTGCGTGGTCTGAAACCCTTGAAACGTGGGTGTATAATCAGAGAGGCGTCCCTGCATTGATTAAACACCAAGGGAAGGCTGCCTTCCCAGTCCGTGACCGGAGCCAGAGTTTTGGGTCCACGGATAAAATGTGTCTCCTTTGTCTCTAACAGAAAATGAAAGGAATTGAAATTTAGAGAAGGGAGAGATTGAAGTGTGGCGCCAAGATTGAAAGGAGAAAGAGGTTGAGGGATAGTGAGGGAGGTTGGAGAAGAGAGTAAAAAGAGGCCGCTTACTGGATTTGAAATTGGTGAGATGTTTCTTGGGCTGGTTGGTCTGAGGACCTGAGGTCATAGGTGGATCTTTCTCACGGAGCAAAGAGCGGGAGGGCGGGGGATTGATCTCCCAAGGGAGGTCCCCCGATCTGAGTCAAGGCACCAAATTTCATGCGCGTCCGTGTGAAGAGACCACCAAACAGGCTTTGTGTGAGCAACATGGCTGTTTATTTCACCTGGGTGCAGGAGGGCTGAGTCTGAAAAGAGAGTCAGTGAAGGGAGATAGGGGTGGGGCCGTTTTATAGGATTTGGGTAGGTAAAGGAAAATTACAGTCAAAGGGGGTTTGTTCTCTGGCGGGCAGGAGTGGGGGTCGCAAGGTGCTCAGTGGGGGTGTTTTTTGAGCCAGGATGAGCTAGGAAAAGGACTTTCACAAGGTAATGTCATCACTTAAGGCAAGGACTGGCCATTTACACTTCTTTTGTGGTGGAATGTCATCAGTTAAGGTGGGGCAGGGCATATTCACTTCTTTTGTGATTCTTCAGTTACTTCAGGCCATCTGGGCGTATAGGTGCAAGTCATAGGGGATGCGATGGCTTGGCTTGGGCTCAGAGGCCTGACAGGTATGTCTTTATCAGCAGAGTGGAAATGAACTAATATACAAAGTAACACAGGTTTACATTTTCTACTTTGTATGATTATTCAGGTTACTGTCTCTTTCCTCCCATGTGAATTGCTTTAACTTCTCTCTCTTTGTCAAGGTTCTTTTTGATGCAAGAAACAAAAACATAATTTGGCTAGCTTAATCTTTTCAAGCAATTGATTGAAAGGTCACTAGGTAACTCACAGAATCAAATGTAAAGCTGAACACTTGAAATGGTTTGGCTCTGTGTCCCCACTCAAATCTCATCTCAAATTATAATCCCCACGTGTCAGGGGAGGGGGCTTGTGAGAAATCATTGAATCATGGGGGTGAACTTCCCCATTGTTGGTCTCTTGATAGTGAGTGAGTTCTCATAAGATCTGGTTGTTTCAAAGTGTGCGGCACTTCCTCCTTAGTGAACTCACTCTCTCCTACTCCATCATGGTAAAGAAGTGCTTGCTTCCTCTTCCTTTTCTGCCATGACTAAGTTTCCTGAGGCCTTCCAACCATGCTTCCTGTTAAGCCTGTGGAACTGTGAGTCAATCAAACCTTTTTTATTTGTAAATTACCCAGTCTCAGGTAGTTGTTTATAACAGTGTGAAAATGGACTAATACAACACCTAAATACCTGGGAAGAGAAAACTAATCACACGTTGAAATATATCTGTAACAAGTACTAATGCACAATCTCTTTATAGCATTGGGACATCTGCTGTGTGTCATTATGTTAAGAATTAATTGTAGGAATTGTTTTAGTTTAGGTCTTGAACTCACCATAGTTGGGAGATGGAGGAAGGGAATTATTATAGGAGTCTCACTAGCACAATATAGAATGTAGGAGTGGAAGATTCCCAAATGACAACTGAGGTGCTGTTAGAAAAAAGGAGACAAAGGAAAACAATGCTCATAAACATCGTTTTGATTTTGTTTGGTTTTTGTTTTTTTGCTACTCAAATGTCCATTAGTCATAAAGTGAATAAAGTCTGATATATGCACACAATGGAACATTATACAGCAAGGAGACTATGCCTTCTATAAATGCACACAAATATGGCTGAATCTCAGAAACATAATATTGAACAAAAGAAGCCAGACAAAACAGAACATTCTATATGATTTTAATTATTTAAATTTCAAAAATAGGTGAAACTGATAATGTTAAAAGGCAAGATTTTGGTAACTCTTGAGGAAAGAGTAGGAGTGACTGAAAAAACACATAAGAGATTCTGGACATATTGGTTATACTCTGTTTCTTTATCTGAATGCTCATTTCAAGGACTGTGTTTTTTTGGTGAAAATACGTTGAGCTACAAAGTTATCCACAAAATTTGGTGTAGACATTTCCTGAAGCAAAAGGAAAATTCAATAATACTGATCCTGTCTTAAAATTTTTGATAGCTGGGCACAGTGGCTCACACCTGTAATCCCAGCACTTTGGGACCCTGAGGTATGAGGATTGCTTGAGCGCAGGAGATTAAGACCAGCCTGGGTAACCTAGTGAGATGCCATCCCTACAAAAAATTAAAAAAATAAGCCAGGCATGGTGGTGCACACCTCTACTTCTAGATACCTGACAGGCTGAGGTGGGAGGATCACTAGCGCTTGGGAAGCAGAGGTTGCAGTCAGCCGACATTGTGCCATTGCACTCCAGCCTGGGTGACAGAGTGAAACCCTGTCTGAAACAAACAAACAAACCAATTTTGATACTGTGTTAATCATAGACTTTGATCCATTAGACAAACCTGACAAAAACAAGAAATGGGGAAAGGATTCCCTATTTAATAAATGGTGTATATGTACCACATTTTCTTAATCCAGTCTATCATTGATGGACATTGGTGCTGGGAAAACTGGCTAGCCATATGTAGAAAGCTGAAACTGGGTCCCTTCCTTAAACCATATATAAAAATTAACTCAAGATAGATTAAAGACTTAAATATAAGACCTAACACCATAAAACCCCTAGAAGAAAACCTAGGCATTACCATTCAGGACATAGGCACGGGCAAAGACTTCATGACTAAAATACCAAAAGCAATGGCAACAAAAGCCAAAATTGACAAATGGGATCTAATTAAACTAAAGAGCTTCTGCACAGCAAAAGAAACTATTATCAGAGTGAACAGGCAACCTACAGAATGGGAGAAAATTTTTGCAATCTACCCATCTGACAAAGGGCTAATATTCAGAATCTACAAAGAACTTAAACTTATAAGAAAAAAACATACATCAAAAAGTGGGCAAAGGATATGAACAGACACTTCTCAAAAGCAGACATTTATGCAGCCAACAGACATATGAAAAAATGCTCATCATCACTGGTCATCAGAGAAATGCAAATCAAAACCACAAGGAGATACCATCTCACACCAGTTAGAATGGTGATCATTAAAAAGTCAGGAAACAACAGGTGCTGGAGAGGATGTGGAGAAATAGGAACACTTTTACACTGTTGGTGGGACTGTAAACTAGTTCACCCATTGTGAAGACAGTGTGGCGATTCCTCAAGGATCTAGAACTACAAATACCATTTGACCCAGTGATCCCATGACTGGGTATATACCCAAAGGATTATAAATGATGCTACTATAAAGACACATGCACAAGTATGTTTATTGCAGCAATAATTACAATAGCAAAGACTTGGAACCAACCCAAATGTCCATCAATGATAGACTGGATTAAGAAAATGTGGCACATATATACCATGGAATGCTATGCAGCCATAAAAAATGATGAGTTCATGTCCTTTGCAGGGACATGGATGAAGCTGGAAACCATCATTCTCAGCAAACTATCACAAGGACAGAAAACCAAACACCACACGTTCTCTCTCATAAGTGGGAGTTGAACAATGAGAACACATGGACACAGGATGGGAAACATCACACACCGGGGCCTGTTGGGGGTGGGAGGCTGGGGGAGGGATAGCATTAGAAGAAATACCTAATGTAAATGATGAGTTGATGGGTGCAGCAAACCAACATGGCACGTGTATACCTATGTAACAAACCTGCACGTTGTGCACATGTACCCTAGAACTTAAAGTATAATTTAAAAAAAGAAAAGAACGTATTGCATTAAAATGTTGTTTGTTTTGAATGCTGGATATTTGGTGTCCCTTAAATTTTGTGTTCAAGGGAAGTCTCTCACTTGCTTTTTATCTTAGACCAGGCCCTATGCTCACCACAGAGAGAATAAAGGCCAAAGGATGCTATAAGACTGAGTCAAAGTCACAGAGATAATTACCTCTAGTGTAAAGTATTTTTTTGATCAGTTATGGATCTTTCCATGCCTACATTCTGCTTTTATATGAATATATACCCTGAAATGAGTCTCATGACCTTCCATATTTTCCATTATTCAGCCAAGTTATAGCTTGCATTTCCAAGAGAAAAAAAAAAAATCAAAACCCCGAACAAACACACAAAAAACAAATGCCTTCTTCCTCAAGACTCATGCATGTCAAAGTAAAAAATTGTTTTTTTCTCTAAATGCCAGCAAATTAAGGAAGTTCAGTTATAATAAGGTCCAAGATCAGAATAGCTTTTTAAAAAATATGGACTCTACTATTCAATTTACTCAAAGAAATTTACATTTTAAAATCATCAACGATTTCAAGATTAATTACCTTCCTTTAGGGAGATAACAATAGGCAATTATAGCCTAAAGTGACAAAACAATGAATTTATTATTTTTCATTTATTGCTTAGTATGTGTGGTTTTTGCTTTTTTACCTTTTCTGTAACAATAAGATGTACTTAATGTAATTGGGTTCTTTTCTTTGACAGTTTAAAGATCTATTGAGTACTTTTGTCACTCCTTTTGCCTTGGTTTTTGCTTTTGGATTGCCTATTTCTGATTAACAGAAGGTTGAAAGTCTCTGGCTTGGAAGTCAATCAGAATGCCACTGTTTAATAATGGTACACTGAACGGTTGACACATTGCCGGGCTAACATCTTTTCGACAAAATGATTACATCTACTGCACATCAATCACTTGACGTAACCAAAATAAAGCCAGCTTAATAGAACAATATCTCATGATAAATACCTTCCCTTGAAACTTCCCATCTTTGCCTTCATACTTATATATTGATAAATGATGTTCCTGCACCTTGATCTTTTTTTCCTCCAAGCAGAAGCCCCATTGTCCTGTGACAGCCTCCTGTTGAATTCACTGCAACACCTAGATGTTTAAGGCAGTTTTCAAACAAAGTCTTCTCTGTCTCTGTATGTTAACCAGTTAATCAATAAACACGAAGAGATAGCCCAAAGTTTAGAAAGGTAGCTGTTTTCCCTCATCCAATGGAACAAGTAAGACACCTGTTTTTCTACTTTCTGTGGTCTTTATACTCACCAGCAAAATCATGAGCTAATATCAGAATCCCTGTCATTCTTGGCAAGTTTCACAGGTCCCAGTTGAGTGTGAACTCAGTCTGAGCTTCCACCTTCAGTGGTTTGTTCCCTTATGGAGTGAGACAAGCAATATTTATTTCTTGAACACTTATAGTAAGGCAATCAAAAGCAACTGTTGGAAATGCACAAGACAGTCTTAATAATGGAGACAGAATTTTTTGATTGCTATAGTGCTTCTTTGTAAGTCAGTTTTTGCTATCCTCTAAATGAGTTAAGACATTTTCTTATATAAATTCTATATCACTCAGCTCTTGCTGTAAAAAAATGTCACCCCCAAAATCTGTAGCTTTGAAAAATAAGTATTCATTATTGCTCCTGAGTCCACAGGTCCTCAGGGTTGATTTGGTCTGGCTCAGTGTTGCTTCAACACTGGCAGGAACTGACTGCTCTAGTATGGCTTCACTTGTGTGCCTGGAGATGGGATGGCAGTCAGCTTGGACAATGAGTTGACTGGGCTACTTATGTCCCGTCTTCCCACAGATAAGCTTCAGCTTATTTACATGGCAATGGCATAGTTCCAACGCACTCTAAGAAAGCACAAACCACAGCATTGCATCTGACGCATTCTGTTGGCCAGAATAAATCACAAAGACAGTATAAATACAAGCGATGGTGAAACAACATGCTACCTCTTGATGGGAGGAGATTCAAAATTGCACTCCATGGGGTCTGAATATAGGAAAAGGAAAAAAAAGGACCAATTTTGTAATCAACCTATGGTAAAACCAATAGGGCCCAAATAGCCATGTAATAAGAAATGTATTTGCATAAATTTTAAAAAGTATTACCCATCTTAAAATTTACTTTATTTTGGACAACGAGTTCAATATAATTATTTCTTGTATACATTGTTATATATTTTTGAAATTCCACTAGTGGCTTTAATTGTTGGCTATCTGTTAGGTGGAAAGCAACATCATAGGTTTGAACCCTATAATATAAATTTCTGCTTTGGTGCACCATTTCAAATTCATATAAAAAAATTTTAATTGCATAAACAGTAACATTAGGAATTTAGAATCTTAAGTAAGCTGTATCTGAGAGAAACAACAATGTACATTCTATTTCAAATGACATATTCTTTGGTATAAAGAGTGAAGTGTTCATACATTACATAACACAAAAATAAATATCCTATCTGTTCACTTTGGTCACCATCCAGTCATTTTGATTTGTCTTTAGAAAGGCCAAAGGAGCATGTTATACTCAGAAATTTATAGCAGTTTCATAAAGGGATAGTTTAGAAGAATACAATTAACATCAAAGAATTTAGCAAAGTTAATATAAGCAAAAACATATTTAGAACAATTTGGTTTATACAAGGGTTAAATAAAATAATGTATGTAAAGCACTGCTAGCGTATCTCATATTCATCATTCAACAAATGGTGCTATTTTTATTCTAGAACTTAGCAGAATATTCATTTTTAAAGGCTAGCATATATTTTTGAACGAATTCTTTGAACAGTGTACATATATCACTGTAATGCACTTATGATATTTATTTTTCACCAGTAAATATTTTCATACTCTACTGGCCATAACAGCCTGGCATTTTGTAATTTAACTGTTTTTTTATTCTAATTTATGTAGTTTCATTATTTTCCGTCAATTTGTTCCTTAGAGGAAGACTGTTTTCAAGTAGAAACTGTGCTATTATATTAGTAGGTTAAAAAAAAAAAAGAATACTACAATTTCATATATGTATTGAGTACTAAGCAAACTATGTAAAGATGAGAAATGATAATAATCCCAAGGTTTCAATAACCTACAAGAGGAGACACAAGAGGTTAATTTATTATAAGAAAAACAATGAAATAATTGTTCAAACAAATATTTTAAAACTTAATTACTATTTCTGTATTTTAGTCATTTTTTTCTTTAAGTAGGCTTGTGAAAACTTCAAATATTGATATTGAATTTTCATGGTTCACTACCATGAGAAGCAATTCTATAAAATGTATGACAAATTTTTGTTATTTTATTCTTTCCTCTGGGATCAAATCATCAGCAAACAACACAACAAACTTTTGAGAGGGTCATATAAATTGTCTGCAAACAGAAAAGGGAAATTCAAGACAACATTATATCTGACACCATCACAAAACCCTTTTTGCCTAATTGAGGGTTTGAGGGTTTACAGTGAAGAAAAAATATAAGTCTCAAGAAAAATGGCTAGTCAGGCTAACTTGGAGACTTGGAAATATTTTGTAGAATTATTGTGGGATTACATAAGATTATTGTTACAAAGTGCTTAAAATAGTACATGCCCAAAATACGGACTGAAAACAGTATTATCACCATCATTATTAACATCCTTATTATCACCATTATTATCTTTAAAATGTTTAGATTTTTACAGAGTTCAATTTCATGAAAGAAGTGCTATAAAAGTATTTGAATTTATCCTTCTATCCACAGCTTTTTACTCTTATCCACACATGTTTTAACTGAAGTTGATATAGGGGAAGAGATTCCTAAGTATAAGACCTTAACTAGTTGTAATTGTAATAATAAACTAGGCCATGAAGAGACAAAGTGATACTGCATCTTCAGCTAATGTTCTCTGTGTGCTCAGCCATTTCCAAAGCAGTATAGTAAACCTCCAAGTTAGACAGAGCTAAACTTTTTTTTCAACTAAAACAATACTGTGTTCTCTAACACTTTACATAAACATTTACTTTTGCAGTCTTTTCCCATTTTTGAATTGCATAGAGACCTAAAGCCAGATAAACGCTGACCCCACCTTCTCCTATTCAATTCTGTGCCATCCTCCTTCTTTAGTTTCGCAAATACCCTTTCGCTGGGCTGAAAAATGGAACACTCATGTGCAGCCTCGGATCCCTTCAGAACTGGGTGTCTCTTAGGTGTAAGGCTCTTTAAGAGAAGAAACTATGCTGATTGAACTTGCTTTGCACAGTGTGTACAAAGTAACAGAGCTCAGGAAGATACTTAATCAATACTGACTAAGGATGATAATTTGAGAGGTGAAGGAAAATCTATGTGGATTTCTTGGAAAAGCCTGAACCATCAGAAACAAGATATCAATTTAGAGTTTAATATGTTGTAACAAATTTATACAAAAATGTTTTAAGTACTCCACAATCAGGTCAGCATATTTTTGAGTACCACAGTGATTTGGACACTGTGTTTGTTGCTTGAAATGTAAATTTCATTAAGGCACACATTCTGCTCTGGAGTAACACTGGGGGCAGTCTAGTGATATTTTCTGGTTTTTTTTTTTTTATATTTTAACATATTGAAGAAGAAGAGGACGTGATGAAAATAGTGCCTTTGAATTCAAGGACAAGATGTTAATACAAACAATCAAATATTTATCAATAAGCATTTCAAGGAATTAACAAAAATATGCATTATGTGTATTCAGAACAATAATCTATTAGCTAGTACTATAGCAATCAAAAAATGATAAGCCTCTATTATTAAACATTTCCAATAAAAGGAACATTTCCAATAGTTCCTTTTGATTGTCTTACTATAAGTGTTCAAGAGATAAACATTGTTCTTTTCACTCCACTAAGGGAACAAACCTTGAAGGTGGAAGCTTAGACTGAGTTCACACTCACCTGGGACCTCTAAAACTTGCAAAACTGGCAGGGATTCTGATATTAGCCCATGATTTTTCTGGTGAGTATAAAGATGACAGAAAGTAAAAAGCAGGTGTCTTGCTACCTAGTTCCATTGGATGAGGGAAAACAGCTGCCCTTCTAAACTTTGGGCTATCTCTTAGCATTCATTGATTAACTGTTTAATATACAGAGACAGAGAAGACTTTGTTTGAAAACTTCCTTAAACATCTAGGTGCAGGAAACTTAGATAGTTTATGCATCAGTCCTTCAGATTTTATCCATCTTCATCCACTGGGCTTATGATGACTGCACTCAAAGAAGCCTGGTCTACATATCATGATGCTAAGTTACTTGTAGGCTATAACTCTACAAAGATCACACTACTCTGTTATCTTTTTAGGCAGAAGAAAACTTGTTTAGCTTCTCTTAACATCTTGGTAAGTTTAGAATAAGCAACAACTTGAATTTTCTCAAAGATTAGGTTCACGTTCTACACACTTTGTTATATAAGATTTCTTTTACTTCTTCATTAAGTTAGTTGATTGTTTCCTGGAGAATAACAAAAGAAAGAATAGTGACTTTGTCTCCTTGTCTTCCTCTCTTTTCTTCTCTCTGTATAAAGTGACACTAGTACTTTTCATATGGATTTCAGTAAAATTTCACACCAATAGTTTAAGTTCAGTTTTCCATTGCATAATTGAACATTGCAAAATAACATGAGCTGAAAGAGAATTAAAGTCTATTTTCACACATATAAAGTAAGCTTGAACATAGTCCAGAGCTGACTTGTTGACTTCATAGTGATACCCGGGACTCAAGCTGTGCCATCTTTCTGTTCTGCCATCCAGTGCCTCATCTATTTTCAAGACCACTACATGGTTCAAGATGGATGCTGAAATTCCAGTCATTAATGCCAACTTCCTTCTGCACAGAACAGAAGTGGAGAAAAAGCAGAGGGGCAAAGAGGGGTCCTCTATGTGAGACAGCACCTTTAAACTTTAACCTGCACAGAAATCCCATGCAACATTTCTGCTAACATTACATTAGCCAGAACACAATCTCTTGACCAGATTGGGAGAATAAGCACATTTCATCCCTGAATAATATCACAGTTGTATTCCCAAGGAGGAGGAAGAGAATGAAACAAAAGACTTGGAGACAGACAACTAGCTGACACCATTCCCAACAAACCAGTGAGCTTATCCAAGTATTTAAGAAGAGAAAACTGAGATAAAATTTTCAAACTCACTGCATCTTTTCTTTGCTCACTCATTCTTTAGGGCAGCTAACAATATTATTGATTTTTTTTTTCTGAGGTGTAAAGAAAGCAATGTCTAGTGCCATGGTAGATATTGTAGATATTGTACTTGCTTTCACATTGCCTCCAGTACAGTAACAAAGTTTGATCAAGAAAAAGGAAAGTATAATATAATGTGATAGGGTCCACGGAAGGGTAGCAGACTATGAGAGCAAGCAGACGAGCTATTCCGTTTAGATGCCACTTACACTGTGAAATTTCTGATCAATTAAGAGTTATAATTGGGAATTGCCCAAGTAAGATCAAGAAATGTGAGTGTTCTAGTACAGACAACTCATGTGACAACTCAAGACCACAGAGATCATAGTATTGAGGAATTTTAGTTCAATGTGACAATTGCCATCAGAAAAGTAACAACGGACACAGGAATAGAAAAGGCATAGACAGAAATAGAACTTAGTGAACCACTTAGATAACTTTCTCTTTCAGAGTGGAGCTAGCCATTGGGTGCAAACAGAAAAAAAGGACTAGATTAGCTTTGCCCTAAAATATGTAGAATTCCAGAACCAATGAATGGCACAACTGGTCTAGTAAATAAAAACTTCATATGCTTTTCCAAATTCTCTTTTCTAAATAGGATGATAATATTTTCTGAATTCAAATTTAGAAAACAGCATGAAAAACAGAAGAAATTTTATCTCTCTTGGAAAATCCAATTTCATATTTCTGTATTTATGGAAGAGCTTTGCTTCACATGATATGTGTACTACTTAAAATCATATATAGGATTTACCATCCCTTCTAAATTCAATTTACATAGTTTCTAAAATAATTTTCATATCTTTAATGAGTTTTGTAAATCACCTCTGAGAACACACAGACTAATATTCTTTGTGAAGCTACTGGAAGAACAATACTCATAAAAGAAAGCTATGTTAATGAATGAATTGTATTGGAAGATTTTTTCACTTTATGTTTTCGATTATTTTAATCAAGCAAGTGACAAAGAGAATCTCCATACTCATTGTGCAACAACAACACCTGCAGAAAAATGAGGACTATGGCAGTTTGCAAATGTAAAACATCGCGTGTGTTAAAAGGAGCAATATTTTATCAAGACTGAAAATAACTCCTCAATACTGCAAGAGGAAGGGTTTATATTGTCATTCACAGGAGACAAATATATAATTATAACAGATCCTGAAATCCAGTCAACATAATCACTGTACCTCAGTTGTCTGAGGTTAAAAGGAGAAGAAGAAAAAAACTGTGATTATATAATTTTCTTTTTCAGAGAGAATCATTAAACAGAAAAAAAGTGCTTAATTGAAAAAAGAAAACAAAAATTCTTACTAAAGTGGAATTGTTTTTGTGTTATGTCCAGTGAAACTTCTTCAGTGACACTAAAATGTACATGCTTATATGACAGATAATTGTAACATCCCCGAGAATGAGACAATATGAGCTTTATTCAATATGAGTTCTGGTATCAAGGCATCAGAATTATTTTGAAAAGAGTCCTTACTTTAAGAAATGATAAAAGAGACACACATTAAATAAGATACTGATAATCTCAGAAAAATAGCTTCCAAAGTATAAATGGTTCTTAATAATTTTGACATAAAGAAAGTGCTTATGTTTAGATTTGTCCGAACTGCTCACTGTGACATCAAACCAAGCTGTATATCAAATAATTCTTTAGCCACTCTCAGAGAGCCTTTGCTCTCTTGAATAAAGCTATACAGCATATTTATGCTGCCTCCCTTCATTTATTAATTTTATTTTCATACCTTCTTCAAATAGTTAAATTCAGTTGGGAATCTGAAAGTGTCTTAGGCTTATTCAGAGCTGAAGTACTTCAGAACTCAGAAATCTCCAGCATTAAAGTGAACTGGAAAACTAGACTCCCATAACTTCAAAAGCAAAGTTGAAATTTTGATACAAAGAGAGTTGATGAGGGAGTTATTTTAAAACATAAAACCTATTAATATGCAAGTTCTTAAACAGTCATTTTCTATTTTAATTGCAGTCCTTTATCAGGTCAACCAATTGGAGAGTCAATATTTTATGCGTGCATAAATGGAACTGTGGATAAATTGGATATCAAAATGGTTGTTTAGAATATTGTTTAAACAAGCACACTTCAATACATTTATTTAGTTTTTTAATTAAGCCACATTATTAATATATCTTTAACACTTTTTCGGTGTAGATTTTAGTTGTAGGTCCTAGGTAAGTATATATCCGTGAATTGAGAGATATAATAAAGTACATAAAGTGGAGAAATAGAACTAGTATATATAAATATGCTTTGGGGAATTATAGAAGAAAAAAGAATTCTCTGAATTAGTGTACTTAGGGAAAGTTTCCAGGAATCTGTTACCCACCCTTAAACTCCACTTACCCATCCACCAATCTATCTTTATAAAACTATTGATTGACTTGACTACTCCAGATCATTTCTTAATGCTGAGTATATATGAGATGACTTCAAGTATATTTTATGGAAACATGGAATTAAAAGATAAAAATAAAAAATATATACTTTATTTCTCAACAGAAACTCAATCAAAATCAAGACAGTTTTTAAGTGATGATACCTGTTGTTTGGTCTATTTCTAAAGAACTGAGGGTGCTGGGAATTTAACCATGTCAATGACGTCTTTTATACATTATTAATGGAAGAAAAATGGGCGTTCTTTAAAGACTCTTTAAAATAAGGAAAGAAAAAAAAAATCAGGAGGCGCCAACTCAGGGCTGTAAGATGGATACCTCATGATTTCCTATTGCAACCATCGCCATATTGCCCTTATTTGATGAGAGGAATTAGCAGGAGTATTGTCGTGGTGGAGAATGGCTCTCTGGTGAAGCTTTCCTGGGTGTCTTCCCAGTAAAGCTTTAGCTAACTTACTCAAAATACTCTCTTAATAAAGAGATGTTATCATTCTATATTATCTCTCTCATGTCCTGAGCTCTGCCTATGGCTGGAAACTTGTGGTAGCAAGCCTCCAAGATGGTCCCCAAATTTTACTGCTTCTTGGCATTGATGTGCTGTGAATTTTCCTCCTAAATCACACCAGGGTTGGTCTGTGTGATCAACAGCACATGGCATAAATGAAGCTATGTCAGTTCTAAGACTACAGCTTCTGTTGTGAGCACTCTCTCCTTTACACACACTCTCTCTAGAACTTGCTTCACTTGCAATGTTGTATAGCCCTATGGAGAGGCCTATGTGGTGAGGAACAGAAGCCTCTAAACAGCAGTCAGCAAGGAACCAAGGTCTACCAACAACCATGCGTGTAAACTTAGAAACTGATTCTCCATGTCCAGTGGAGCCAACAACTTAAATGCAAACTCAATGGAGACGATGAGCCAGAACCACACAGCCAAACTGTTCATATTCAGATTCTGGATAAACAGAACTGTGAGATTAAAAAAAAATATATCATTTTTAAGCTGTTAAGTTCTGAGGTAATTTGTTATGTGGCAGTAGCAAACTATTTATACCCAAACAGATTTGAGTGCCTGAATGTGGAGTACTGCTGTGTCAAAAATCTAAAAATGTGGACAGGGCTTTGGAACTTGGAGGTGGAACTTGAGAAGAGCGTTAGTAAAAGCCCTGTTTCTTGGTGAAGATGTTACTAGAAGACTTGTGGTCTCTGATAAAGCTGTAAATGAGGGCTTTAGAAAGTCAGATAAGTGCTATTGGAAACTGAAGAAAAGGCATCCTTTTTAAGTAGTCACAGACATTTTAGCAAGACTGTTGCCTGCAATTATGTGGAATATGGTAAAAGTACCTAATGAACAAGATAATCTAACTAAAGAGATCTCCAAACAGAATGCTGAACCTGCCATCTGGTTTCTTGGTGCTTATAGTAAAATGTAAGAAGAGATAGATAAAATACAAGGACAGTGAAACAAAAAATATCTAAAACTTGGGTTTGAAAATTCTCAGACTCTACAGATAGCAAAACATGGTCCAAAGATAAAACTGAAAGTATGACTCTAAAATCTCTTTTTAAGACCTCAGAAAGATCAAACGTGGTATCACAGAATACGATTAGGTCAGACAAAACATCTTTTAAAGGAATTGAAGGTGTACACATATCTTCTATATGCAACAATCAGCTTCTAGGACGTTTAAAGGCACTGTCCTCAGCAATCTTAGCAGAAGCTAAAGGTAAAGGATTATCACAGAGATACCTGTGAGTGTGGGTTTTTTGTTTCTGTTTTTGTTTTTGCTGATGAAATAGATGCCAAAAAGATTCACAGAAGATCCATAAAACTTTTACAATCACTATAAATGCAGAAACAGTCAGTTTGAACTGAGTTGATAGAGTGCAAAATGAAAAACTTTTAGACACTCCAATTTCTACTGACAAGAAGCAGAATAAGAAAATGACTCGGCTGCAAACATGTGGTGCCTTTCATGATACAGGAAGGATTACTGAGAGTTCTGAGCCTTAGCAACCTTCTCCAACATACGGGTCTGACATAGAAGATGAGATTCTAGAATTTGAGCTGATGCTTGATAGAATGATAACTTGAGGTGCCTGGAGAAAGGATGCATATATATTGCATGTTTGAGGGAAAGGAATCATTGGGGGTCAAAGGGGAGATTGTGGTCACCTGTCTGCAAGGTGACCACTGCAAAGACCCACAATTATCCTTGCTTTTTGGTACTCACAATCTCGTATAGTCCATCCATGATGTTAGAGTTTGGTTCTGTGTGATCCAAAGCATATGGTATTATTTCACTTCTGAGATTACGTTATAAAAGACTGGTTTCTGTCTTTGATATTTTCTTGTTCTCATGTTTCTCACTCTTGGATTCCTTGTTCTTAGGAAGCCAACTGCCCTGCCAAGTAGCCCCATCATGAGCACATAGTGAGGAATAGAGACTTCCAGTCAACAGCCAGCAAGGAACAAAGGCCTGCCAATATGAGTATAGGTGATCTTGGATGCAGAATCTCCATCCCCAGTTGAGCTATGGGATGACTGGAACCTTAAGCAACAGCTTAACTGAAACTTCATGAGAGACCCTGAGTCATAACCACCAATTTAAGTCATCCCTGGTTTCCCAAACCATATAAACTGCATGATAATAAATGCTTAGTGTTTTAAGCTGCTAAGTTTGGAGGACATTTGTTAGGAAGCAATAGGCAATTAAAACACTGTCCTGACCTCTTTGAAATACCTCATCTTTTATTAATGGTAAAATATAATACCAGGTGCTATGGCTTGAATGACTGGCAAGGCAGGTTTGGGGAAAAGAAAAATGGACAAACAGAACAGCTTCCAACTGGAAATCTTTTTAAGGCAGTTTATTCTCTGCAACCAGCTCTCTTTAAAATGCTTAAAGGTCTGTCTTTATTCAGAGGTCAATTTGTTAGGGAAATAGTCCAGTCTTTTCTGGTATATTTATTCATTAACTGAGAGTGGCTCCTGTTACATTCAGTTTACCTGTATATTTCTGACCGAATATGAAATGTTATCGTGGGAATGTACTTGAATCTCTTTTTTGGGGTTTAATTCCTTCATGGTATTGATAGAAGTCACCTTTCATGGACCTGGATGGAAGTGGAGTCCTGGCAAAAAAAATTGTTATTATGGAACTTGACAACACATGTTTTAGGCATATTAACACCAAATGACAAGTCAAGTATTATAATAGCTAGACATTGGTTCTCATGTCCTGAAATTGCATATCAAATATCCCTTAAAATATAACAAATATTTCAGATTCTATATTTATTTAAATCATATGTGAGCACTCACATTAAATAATGAAAACAGCATTTATCTTTGCCTTCTCTACACAGCTGAGAAAACGACGCAACTGAATGCTCAAACAGTTCATGCATTGAGTTTTAAAAGTAAAATTTTGCTTATAAATCCCTTAAATCATAAAGTATACTCTGTGCTGTTCTTTCCAAATGCTGAAATAATTATTTTTAAAAGAATAAAAGCTCATTTTAAGGGACAGAGTAATTAAGAAAAGTAATATAAAAGTGGGTGTTGGGGTTGGTGGCAAGATGAGCTAAGTGTGCAGGGGAAGGGAGAGCTAGGAGTGTAAGCAGAACTCCACGACTGGCTGAGGCTGTGACTTTGAATGTGGAAGTAGAGCACGGAGGTGACTCTCCATGTACACTGATAATGTTGGTTCAGATTGAGCGGAGTTTTGGGGTGTTACTAATTTTATACTCCATGATACTACTCTAAGGAAAGCTGAGGCTGGCAGTCATTATTGGATGAGTTCAACATTAAAAGACTGAGAAAGAAGTCATATTGATCTTCACATTTAGATATAGCCACCATTCTTAAATTTTTTCTACTATAAAACAATGTTTGATTTTTATATCTGTGAAATATAAATTATATTAATGTGCCCACTGTTGTGCATGCTAGCTATAACTCTATCATTTTTCTCTTACTCAAGAAATTATTATAGAAATATAACTGTGTGAGCATGACATTAGATGTCTTGCTTGCTTTCGTACTAATTTATTACAAAAAGGAATAGTCCTCTAACATGGATACTGTTACCACCAATAGTCACATTTCTCAAGATCCACATCATTGGCCTGGCCTGATGGCTTACGCCTGTAAATTGCAGCACTTTGGGAGGCAGAGGCAGGAGGATTCCTTGAGGCCAGGAGTGTGAGACCAGCCTGGTCAGCATAGCAAGATCTTATATATATATATACAATACATATATATATATATATATTAGAGTCAGTGCACCTATATATATAATATATATATTAGAGTCAGTGCACCTGTAGTCATAGCTACCCAGGAGGCTGAGGTGGGAGGATTGCTTGAGCCCAGGAGGTCAAGGCTGCAGTGAGCTATGATCAAGCCACTGTACTCCAGCTTGGGCAAAAAAGTGACACTTCAGCTATTTAAAAAAAGACCCACATTATTAGTAAAACCAAGGTTGTAACCCTTCAAAATACAGAACAAAACAAAGCAAAAACACAATTTTGTTCACAAGGCTATCAAAGTGGTGGCCAGTTAAAAAGGAACAAAAAGAGGATCCAGCAACTGACCATTGTGATAAAAATCAGAAGGGTGTCAATAGGCAACTTAACATCTTGTGAGGTTAAACTGTTATAAAAAGAAGTTTATATGTCTCAAGATATGTATGTTTCATTTCTTTCACCCTGGTTAGATTGAAGAAGTATCTAGAAATGCTACTGTATTATTTTCCAGATGTTTCTGGTTGGAAACAATAAGGCTATGGCCCATAGTCATAGCTACTCAGGAGGTGGAGGTGGCAGGAAGGCTTTCTAAGTAGCTAGAAATTTTGGAAGGGGCAAAAGGGAGAGCATTCAGCAGGTATCTTTAAGCATGGATTTAATAAGTACATTGAAGTGAAATTGATCATTGGTTGGCAGAGGGACTGGCAGAGGGAACGAACTAAATACGTGTAGAATATGAGACCCCAAAAATGGATGGCACCAACTAGAATTCCTATGGCAGCTGATTCTTTTGAAAGATGGAGAAACTCAGCTTCTTTTTTTCCTGAATGATTTAGAAAGGTAATGATAACACAGTTTAAAACTTAGACTGTGGAATGGCTCAACCACTTATTTGCTCAGTGCATTTGAGCAAATGATTTAAATTCCAGGAAACTCACTCTCCTGAGCATAACAAGTAGTTGTTCCAAGTTCTAACATTTGTGTAAAGTGCTTAACAGAATGCCTGACACATAGAGAGCATTCAATAAATGATAGCAGGAACATTAGTACACAAAGTTGCTAACAGACCAGAGATGAGGATTGATGTCACTTGCATCCAACACTATTTTTACATCTATTCTCAAATTCTAATTGAACTATTATTTATTGACCTTTTATGCGTGGAACATATTAATTTCACATATGTTCTTGCTAATCTTACAGCATGCTGCCTGAATATCAATATTCCTTATGATCTCTTTTTGTCAGAATTGCTAACAGTAAATGTAACTACAACCAGCTCATTTTTTCCAGTAATATTCCTTCTGTTATAATTTCTGAACATTTCAGTGTTAAAGATAATTTCCTCACCTCATAAAATATTAACATTCTTTTTTGCGTGGCTAAGAATTGTCTTCAAGCAAACTTCTTCCTGTCATTAATTAAAATAATAAGTAGTGTAATATTAAGTGTGTAATTCTCTGACAAGTACTCAAATGTTTGCCAAGAAGTCCCTTTTTGCCAAAAACATCTGGAAAATAATTTGGTAAATTAAAAAGCTGATACTTTAATATACTACAGGGTAATCCCCCAGTCTAGGTAGGCAAAATGCCAAATTGGCAAAGCTCTTGCCCCTGGCATGGTGCCACGGCTTCCTCATTTTTCTTTTCTTCATGTGCTATATGAGAATTTTGCTCAGCCCCTCTCTATTTCCACTGCATTAATTATCAGACAAGAAAATGACAACAAACACATTCCAACACAGGTTAATGTTTCTGCTTGCGACAGACAGTGTTTCACACAGAGACAGTGATCATAAATATTTTAGGTACTCTAATAGACGGGAACAGCCGTAGTTAGTAAAAATAGTTGCATGGCTCCTGCCCCAGCAGTAAAAGTAAATTGCTCCTTCTCATTGGTTTTATGTCCCCTGCTAGATGCATTTTAATGGGCATTCGGGTCCCCTGAGAAGAAGCCGCTGTCCTTCCCTTCTTTTTTCCCCCTTTCTCAACTTTATGTTTTCAGGGTGTTGAATAGTATATTAAGAGCTTGAAGCTTTAAAACTCAGTCATCCAACACTTTGTGTAATGAGTTGCTTGATTTGTCCAGGACTTTACTGTTCTGATTACAACTCTACAGGGCCATATGATGTTTTACAGTTTGTACAAGACTGTCATATTCCTAACATCCTTGCTCCTCAGATGTACACAAAGAAGGGTTAATTTTCCCATTTTTCTATTGAGGAAACTGAAGCTCAGAATTCTAAGTGGTTCCTCCCGAAGTCAAGAGACAGAAAATGCACAGATGTGCTTATTAAAATGTAAGATTTGCATGAAGATAATGATTCTATGTATTAGATACACGTAAGTGGAAAAACAAGGAACTGGACTAGAATTCAGATCTTTTTGACCCTGCATCCAGAAATCTTCTCATGGTGGCACCTTGAATTACAAACTCCAGGGAGGAAGAAGAGAAATAGTGTATGAAAATAGTATATGGAAAGACTTTCAGATCATATCCAAAGACGTCTCACTCATTAAGTCCCAGGAAAAATATCATTGAAGACCTTTTTTCTTTCAAATAAAAACAATTCCATATTTCTCAAGATCCCTGCAGAATTTTTCTCTTTTATAGTGTAGGACATTTTCTACTTTGTAATTTCATTATATGTATATATTTTACTCACGGTACATCAGAAACTCCTTGAGAATATTTGATTAATTTGTCTCAGGAGCTTCCAAAGTACCTTGTACTGTGCCCTGAATACAAAAGATGCTCGTTAAGTATTTGGCGATAAATGTATTAATTTATACTTATATTCTCCAGCTGTGATCCAGGCAGGAGGAGGAGTGTGAGGCACCAGAGTTGGCTCCTTAATGTAATTATCCATGTATTTAATCATTACATTTAGAAGGTAGGAGCACTGTGGCATGAGTCTGTCTATGAAGGCAGTGACTATGACTGTACTCTTTGCCCCAGTATTTCCACCACCTACACAAGATAAGACACATAAAAGAGATTCTGTAAATTTTTTTCTGACATTTTATTTATTATATTCATTTTTAATAGGGAGAAATATTTATCTGATGTCATTACTGAGGTCGTCTATAAAACTTCATATAACATATGGGTGAAACTTACCTTTCTGCATTTATGTGTACTTTAGTCAAAACTACAAGTCAGTTGTACTGCTACCATGATAGGCACCTCCCTTGACACTTGCTATTACAATTCAAATTACCTTTCACTTTCTTGTCAAAGACTAATTACCAGAATGTAACAATCATATATATGTATGATGTAATCACTTACTTTCTCTAACCCTCAGTGTATGAAGTGCTTCATGTGCATGATTCCATTTCAATTTTAACATCATTATGAAGTCAGAATTCTTTCATGTCTTCATTTTTCAGCTCAGGACACCAAGAGGGTAAGTCACTCTCCTAAGATCAAAGAGCTAGTAAACAGTGTGGCCATGCCTTTTTCACTGCACTCTGCTACACAGAAAATTCAAACTCAGCACATTAGCTTAATCTATTAGCTTTTCACAAATCCACTTCCCCAGCAGCACTACACATCAGGGCTAAGAATCATCACTTCTTGTCAACCAATCATCTAAACCCAACTCATTCTTGGCCCCCAGTCATCCAAGACTCATCTTTCATCATCCTCCTCATCTAGTTGCCAAGGATCCTTTCATTTCTAACTCTCAAGAGCCCCGAATTCATCCTTCCAATTCTTGCTAAGTCATCTTAAGTATGAAGACCTGCAAAACTTATTGCTCCATGGTTACCCTAACCCCCTTGCTCTCAAGAAAACAGAATAAACCCTCTCCCTCTAAATCCCTTCTTCAGTTTCACAGTTCCTAAAACAGGACATCATGCACTGAGATGGGCCAAATTGCAAAGGAAAACAATTCCTTTCGGCAAGATTGCAACATCTTCCTGACCAAAGCCTACCTCATTGCACCTATAAAACCCTTCTCATTCCCCATGATTGGAAGACACACCATGTGGGTGCTCTTTCTGTTACAAGAAACTTAAAATACTTTTTTTCTTATAATTTGAGTCAAAGGTAATTTTTTAAAGTTTGATAACAGAAGCCATGATCTCACTATTTTTACTACATACTGCAACATCTTTTATAAGTATTTTTTAAATGAGAGACAAAATTTAGTATAAAAATTCTAATAATAGAAGAGGAAACAGAGCTAGGATAAATCACTATCTGTGTTTTTTCCTATGGCCATTTGACTGATCTTTCTCTTTCCATCATGTACCATAAAAAATAAACAACAACAACAAAAACAACAAATGAAAACTCTTAGTGACCTCCCAGTGTCCACAAGATTAGCTCTGAATTCCCCAGCCAAGGTCATTATGATCCCTTCTTCTCTATTAGCCACATATTCAGTCCTTCCCTCCAACCCCACCAAATCCATGCATTATGCCTGCTTAACCATTGCCTTTTGCCTCTTGCCTCTTCTTGGTACTTTTAACAAAGAACTCCTTTTCTCTATGTCTTAGATAAAGTTCTCCAGGAAACAGATTATGAGATGGATATTTGGGCCACAGGAAGTTTACTGGAGCATGGTCTATGGGACAAAAGCTGAAAGGAGTAAGAGAAGTAGAATTGGGTAGCAGGAGAAGTTAAACTGTGAAACCATTGAAACAGAGACCTTAGAAAATCTTATTTTCCATTTTTCTGAATTAAAGCAAAGAAACCAGGACTTTGTAGACAAAACTGACCTGTCATTAAATGTGGTATTTCTCTGGGGGGTATGGAGGGTGGGTCTTGAACAAGGCACCTTTCTTTGGCTGAATGCAAGCAACAGAGATTCAGCTATAAGCCATCAACAGCCAAAACTCCAGACAGATGGAAGGATATCTTCCTTGGTCTAAAAGATGAGTCTAAGTAAAATACCACAGTGTCCCCCTTAGCCTGTAAAGCCATTCTAGGCTCTTTACACAAGACAAATATGGGGCAAACACCATTGCCTTTGTGAATCCATGTGTAATCACTCATCTAGAGTTGTTCTTACCATCATTGGTCTACTATATATTTTACGCCTCTAGAAAAGTATTTGTCACAAGCCTCACTAGGCTATGAGCTTTATGAAGATAAGCTCTGAATCTTGTTTATCACCTTCTCTCCAGTGCCCAGCATAACACCAGGCTATAGTAATTAATGAATATTGAATAAAAGACCCACTGAGCCAGCAGCATGCAGGTTTGCTACTGAATACTTCCCTCCTTCATATCTCAAAGATGTAGTGGAAATTGTCATTTTCTTGTATAACTAGAGATTATCTGCTGGTGTTCTCTCCTGGGGTTCTTGCCTGAAACATTTTGTTGAGGAAGGATTTGTATCATTTACCCAGAAGAGAAGGTAAAATAAGAGACAGTTGTAGTAGGAATTGCACATAACTTAAAGTTAGGAGAGCTAAACTGCAGTCCAGACACAGCCATGTGCTACCTGAGAGCTCTTAGGAAGTACTAGCTCTCTGTATACTATGATTTCCTAAATAATAAGTGTGTAGTTTAATCATAGAATGAGCTAAAAGAAAACTTCTGGAACTTCCAATCTTTATTTTATATCACCAGGATGAAGTGAGGAGTGTTAAAGGAATGGAGTATATATCTATAATGGCAAAAGGAAAGGAGTAAAAGGGAAAATAGCAAAAGAAAAATGAGAATCGAAAACATTACGCATACATCCTGTATCAGTTTCCAGGTGCAGGGGAGCATTTTTAAGTAAACGATTAAATGTTCCAGTATTCCTAAATGCATTCTTAAATTCATTTTGTTTAAAATGTCTTTGGCCGGGTGTGGTGGCTCACGTCTGTAATCCCAGCACTTTGGAAGGCTGAGGCAGTGGATCACTTGAGATCAGGAGCTCGAGACTAGCCTGGCCAACAGGGTGAAACCCTGTTTTCACTAAAAATACAAAAATTAACTGGGTGTGGTGGTGAGCGCCTGTAATCCCAACTACTGAGGACGCTGAGGCAGGAGAATCATTAGAACCTCAGAGGCAGGGGTTGCAGTGAGCAGAGATTATACCATTGCACTCCAGCCTGGACAACAGAGTGAGATCCATCTCAAAAAAAAAAAAAGTCTTCTAGTAACCTCATCGATCTAACGTCATTTATTTTTTCTATTATGAATATGGCTAAACCTATAAAAAGATGTACTAGTACACATTTTTACTAGATTGATTCCCAGCAACACGTATTGCTGTCAACCAAAACATTTTGGAGTCCAATTAGAATATTGCATGTATAAACACCAATGGTATTTGTTAAATTTTGTTCTCCTTCAAGCGGTATCTGTCCATGGCTTTAGCATTACAACAGAGGAATCTGTGAAATATTTCATCTCCCTTTTGATTTCATTTGTGATATTTTTGCTTTGCTTTGCCTAAATTATATTTCATTGGCTTTTGTTTTCAAAAGATAAAAGGGGATTTCCATGTGTGGGAGAATGCTGACTTTAGCTGAAAATGTTTGAGGGTTTTTGTAGTTTACTGTTTCAAGTCAAGAGAGAAAGTGAAGTGTGGGGTGTAGTAATCCCAGAAATGAGGAAACTATGAGAGAGAGAAATCATAAAACTGTGAAAAGAAACTCCTTCCAAATTATTGAATGATTCCTGAACTGTGCATATGCAGAGTGAAATTTCAAACAAAAGCAATAGCTATAATTGAACAGTTTCAGCAATTGCCACCATAAAATTTAGGATTTAAGTCTAGACAGTTTAACTGGTTAATTAACCGATTAAATACTCAGCAGAGGAAAATAACAGAATCCAGTGTCTCTAAAATGTATTATTTACAATGTTTAGTATGAGATAAGAAAAAAAGATATATACATAAAGATATATTTATCTTTTCATATATATAGGTAGATACATATATAACCTATAATTAAGCAAAAAAGAGGTAACTAGAAGCTGCCCCAAATTACATAGATATTTTAAATTTCAGACAGGGCTTTAAAGCAGCTATAATAAGTATATTAACAACTTTTAACAAAGATAATCATAATGGGTGAAAATATGGAGACTTTTAACAGTAAAATGGAAATAATAAAAATATAATAAAATGGAAAAGTATAACATTTGAGGTGAATAATTCATTTGAAAGTCTTAACAGCAAAGTGGAGAAGTAGAGGCACTAAAGAAAAGGGTCAGTAAATTCAAAGAGAAATGGGAAGATATTTATAAATTTTATAAAGACAAAAAGAAAGATAAAAGAGATGAAGTTTTAGTTTTTAGTGACCTGTGGAATAATATCAAACCATAGGGCTGGAGTGGAGAGACAGACAAGAGAGAGAGAGGAGAGGGAGAGGTGAGGGAGAATGGGATAGAAAAATATACGAAAGAATAATTTTAAAATATAGATATAAAAATACACACACACAGACACACACATTTTGTCATTTTCTTCCATCTTAAAGAGATTAAAAGTAATGGCACACCCTTAGCAAAAAGGATGCCTAGCATTCGGATTCGGTTTTCTAAGTGCAACCCTTCTTTAAACTAAGTTAAGGTGGCTTGGAGGAAAGATTGAATTCAGGGCTGGGTCCAGGAAAGTAAGCAATAAACTTGATACTCTTGATATGCCTTGAAGTAAGGAATATATAAAGAAAGATAAGTACATATCCAAGTGACACAGAAGCCAGCTTAAAGGGACTTGACTGACCAAAAACTAAAGACAATTTGGACAGCAAAATAATAATAAGAGTAATGGGCTATGACTCATTGAGTAACAAAAGGATTCATGAGTTCAAAATTATATAGATAAATAAGTGAATAAATAAAGAAATGAAAAAGAAAATCTTCCTTACAGTTGAAATTTAACTAATAAATACAGAGCGAATGGTGGCTTTGGAAAACTATCAGTGGAACTAAAGCTATTGAGTGATACTTTCTCAAGAAAGAGATTATTTGAATAATTTTGGGATATCTGTCCACAAGCGACTCATTAATTACAAGGAGAAAATCATAACTTCATGGGAGATATAACTCAGACACTCCAAGTGTCTTAATCTGTTCTTGCTGCCATAACAAAATACCTTAGACTGGATAATTTATAAATAATAGAATTTTATTTCTCTTGGTTAAAAAGGCTGGAAAGTTCACGACCAAGAAGCTAGTAGAGTCAGTGTCTGATGAGGGCTCATTTCTGCTCCATAGATGGCACCCTATTGCTGCATTCTCACATGGTGAAAGGGGTCAAAGAGGCAAGGCAGCTCTCTGAAATCTCTTTATAAGGGCATTAATCCCATTTATGAGTAAAGAAACGTGAACACTAAATACGCTATGTAATCCCGCATTGGATCCTGGCCCGATAATAAAATAGTATACAAAACATTACTGGGATAACACACAAAATTTAAATATGGACTGTAGAGTACATAATAGCATTGTATCCACGTAAATTTTTCTAATTCTGACCACAGTACTGTGCATATGTAAGATACTATCTTTATTCTTAGGAATTACACTAGGAAGTATTTAGAGAAAAAAGGATATGATATTTACAACTTCTCAATTACTTCAAAAAATATGTGTGTGTAAAATTAGATCTGCAGCTTAGTTTTATATGTGTAACATTTATTTTACATATATATTCATACACAGAGCAATAAAAGCACTTGGTGAATCTGGATACAGCATTTACAGTTTTCCTGTAAGCTTCCAGTTACATCAAAATTTAAAAGTATAAAATTTAAAAGCATAAATTTAAAAGGCAATTGCTGAAACTGTTCAATTATAGCTATTGCTTTTGTTTGAAATTTTACTCTGCATATGCACACTTTAGGAATCATTCAATCATTTGGAAGGAGTTTCTTTTCATATTTTTATGATTCCCCCACTCATAGCTTCCTTATTTCTGGGATTACTACACCCCACACTCCACTTTCAATCTTGACACATGTAAAAATATCTATGCATTTAATGTGTATTATATAATGCTTTATGCTATGTATAAGCTTGTATGGGTTAATATGATTTTATTTCTAGATAAATACATTAGCTACTTTCAAAATTAAAAATAATGCAACAATGATGGATGCAATGTTTTCTTTTCATGTTTCATCATTCAGAGATGGACCATATTAAAATACATATATGTTTGATTATTAATCCATATATCAAATACTAGGAAGCTTTAATTCAATAACAATGACTCCAGTAATATATCACATCGTTTGTAGCTTGCCCTAATTCACTCTGGTATTAAGGGTGTACCTTTTATTCAATTTGTTGTTAACAGTATCCATTACACATTGGTCACATTTCCAAAAAGCATAAAATATGTAATTCAATAAGCTTTTACTGTCTAACAAGGCGTCATCATAGGTCAGATTTAACAACATTAATTTTAAGAAGGTCAAACTAAACAAAAATAGATGGCTGACAGAGCAGAGTATGAATCTTAATCTTGCTAACCAGGTGAACTTGCACGAGTCACTTAACTTCTCTGAGACTCATTTTCTGAATTTATAAACTAGAACTAACAGTGAGGTAAGAGAGAGATGGTGAAGAGGTTGAAGAGATAGGAGAAGAAAGAGAGGAAGAAAGGAAAGGGTAAAGCAGAGGGAGAGAGTTACAGAGAGAGCGGGGAGAGAGAATCTATCCACAATTTCAATGAGAAGGGAAAAGACAGAGAAGGTAGTGTAGTGAGAAGGTAAGCCAATGAGAAGACAAAGAGACTGGGAATGGCATAGAATAAAGTTAATCAGTGAAAAAGAGAGTATAAGACAGTAAAAGGCAGTATAAGAACGGGAATGTTAAGTGTTCTGTTTCAAGGGTATACATTATTGGAAAATAGAAATAAACCATTCCTCTACACTACTGTATTCCCAGAATCTTCAATATTCTGCAAATCATTTGTGTTAAATGGAATCAAGAAATTGAGAAATTCCCTATCCTGACTAATTAGGTTGGGATAAGAATGACTGTATATAGAAATACAAACCGTAAACATAGATAGCCTTGAGAATGCAGTTAACCCATTAAATTCCAGAAATATTGGTGGTTGATTTAAACTTCCATGGAACAGAGGACAGGGGTTGAAATAGGGATATGTAACTCTCAAGAGATCAGGAACACATACCTGTCATCTGGACCATATTGTGTTTAGAAAGAAAAAAGTATGCTGTAAACATTGTCTTAAAATAGTGGAATTCTACCATGCAAGAAAGAGAGTCATGTTATTTAATTTTTTCTTAATGTCTCTAGAAAGCATAATGTAGAATTTTTTTTACAAAGGTGACAAAGAGGCTAAGTTTAGTTCATTAAAATAAAGACTATTTTGACAGTTAATCATGTACAAAATTATTGGGATGTTGGGGACAAGCTGTTCCATAAATTGCTTAAACAGAACAAAAGGACCACTAGTTGCCATTACTGCAGAAAGGATTTAAGAGTGAGAGAGGAAAATGAAGTGGCAGATCTTTGGAGCTCCTTCTAAAAAGAAGTGTAGAAAAGAAACAAAACAAAGGAAAAACATTAGAAAAGGAACAAACCGTACCATTTAGTAATAACTGGTTCTGACTTGAATGCAATTTTTAAGAGAATAAATTAAGTCTAAATGACAGAGAAGGAGGGCAAGAATCTTGCCTTCAGAAAATTCTGAAAATAACAGACACTGGGAAGTAATGATGTAGGAGTATGGATATATAACATTTGAATCAGAGAAATGCTTATAGCCTAACAGTGCCCCCAGGGCTGATTTTATGGTATTAATATGAGTTTAAAGCCAATAAAGCAAAAAATATGCATCTGAGAGATGTGAGAAATGTAAGTGAAAGCTGTCATATATTTCTATAACGTGGGCAATGTAACAATTTGTACACATCTGGGAAGATATGCAATGTTTTATATATTTTCTATCACTCAACAATGATTTATTGTATACCAACTAGGTTTGGGGTCTTATAGTTGAAATGAGGAATTAGATATGGGATAGATTTTCAGAGTTGACTACAGATAGCCAATTAAGTACATAGTCATACCATTGTTTGGTGATAACAAATATATTTGGTCTTATCTGTAGATGCTAGAATCAATTCCTACCTTCCCTATTCACTTATAATTTGACCATTGTTTAACAGCATCCTTAAGTTCTCTTCTGGAGAAGTCAGAATATAATATAATATTTTCAAAATTGTCTTACTTATTTTGCTATTACTCAAGATTATAAATTTATATGGCTTTTCTACATCCTTTTGAGGTCTTGTTCCATAAAACTCTTATTTTAGTATCTTTCTGTCACTCTCCTTCATTCTCTTCTCTCACTTTCTCTTTTAGAAAATAACTAAAGAAATCTCTTTTATCTTTACAGATTTTCACATTCTTTTTCTTCTTTAGAGTGAAACACTCTGTTCTGCCTTCTTCCCCTTCTTAAATTGGTGAACATTTTCTAATCACTCAAACTTCAAATTAAAGAGCACTTTCTCAAGGTGGACTTTAATGGTACCTAGACTGTGGCATTCTTCTTTTCCTAGTGTTCAAACTAGACCAAACACTCATTGCACACTTCCTTGCAACTACTTGTTAAAGCTTGTCTTTCAGACAAGAATGTCAGTGAAGCCAGGATAGGTACTACTGTCTGTTCATTCACTGTGTCTTTGTTATGGTTCATTCACTGTATCTTTGTTACCATTGAGTATCATATAAAGAGCTCAATATTTATGCAAGAGGTGATAAATTATTGAATAAATAGATGGCTAGATTTGTGGATTAAAATATAAATTAATAAGTCTAAACCTACCAGGTACCAATAGTAATCTAGATAATATGGGAGTGACATATAGAATTAAATTGGATGTGGCCCCTTACCTTAAGATGATAAAAATTTCTATCAAGAGATGCATGTGTTAATGACTAAAATCAAGGCAGGAGAATAAAACACACGCTATTTCAAAAAGTATAAGCAAAGTACTGCTGGCAGTGCAAAGGAACGAGTGAGTCTAACTGGGAGCGTTAGACAAGGCATCACAGAAGGATGCCTTCAGTCTAAAAAAAGGATGAGTTCATGTCCTTTGCAGGGACATAGATGAAGCTGGAAACCATCATTCTCAGCAAATTAACACAGGAACAGAAAACCAAACACCGCATGTTCTCACTCATAAGTGGGAGTGAACAATAAGAACACATGGACACAGGGAGGGGAACATCACACACCCGGGCTTCAGTCTTTAAGAAATACTAGGAGACTGATAATTTTGGGGGCAGTGAAAATACTGTCCCAAGCTGTAGGAGCAGCACCAACAAAGGCTCAGAAGCTTGGTTAAAGATGAGTTAATCAGGACTGTTAGGTCTAAGCTTTGTATAAATACATTCCTATAAAGTAATTTAATCAGAAAAAAACAAGGGCATAGGGAAAAATAGGTAACTTTAGAAATTAAGCTAAAGAGTTTAGAATTTGTATCTGTAGGAAACAGAGAGCCATACAACATTTTGAGAAAAATAGAAGTTTTTTTTTAACGTAATAGGTCTGGCAGCAACATGGAGAGTTACCTATAGAGACTGAAAGTATCCAAATTAAATAGATCATTTAAAAAATAATAATGACAAGAGATGATGATAAATGTAATGCCATCACAAAAAACCAATCATATGAAGTTCATATGGCCTACTACACTCGAACCACCATCCTCAGTGTATTTGTATGCACATCTATTTAGATGTAATGCTGATAAGCCATTTACCAAAATTTATATCCTCAAACCAAATTTAAAAGGAAACACGTATTCAAACACAAATTAAAACAATGAGCTCATTATGAATATTTATCTGTAAAGTCAATCAATATTAAGTTTATACATGTGTCTATGGCTTATATATGAGGAGTCTCTATTGTATCAAAATTTGTCTTTAATCCTATAATGACTTGTTTTGAGATCAATAGCCAATAAACTGAAATAATGTGTTACATTGGTAGCTTGAAAATTTTCATGACATATATATTGACTTGGGAACTTATTTATTTAGCTTTTCATTGCGCGTGTTTTTTTAAGTTATTGCAGGGGTTGCGGGGGCGGGGGGAGGTGGATATTAAAAGAAGGTGATTGAAATGGCTGTATTTATTTTGAGGTCCTTGGATGTGTTTGTTTGTTTCATCCTGATTAAGCTGCAGCTTGTGTTAACCTTGGTGAATGCATATCTTTTTCCTGATTTAATTGCAATTGCCTGGAGCTTCAATCTGCATCTACCACTGTGACAGCTTATAAAACAACAACAAAACAAACCCAAACCCATGTTAGCTGGAAGGAGGAGGGAAAGTGAGAAGTGGGAGCTTTCCATTGTGAGCACGTTATATATTTGTTAACACAAATCTTTTCCTTTCCAGATGATATCTGTGTCCTCTTTCTCCCAATGTGTTTTTTTCAATCAGGTTTTCTAGGTGTTACCAACTGTGAAATGGAAGAATAACTTAATTTATATATAAAAACTTAAAACTACAAAAGATGCTTCATTTTAAGCTCTGATGCTTAAACACTTCAGTAACAAAATAATTATTTGGATTTTAACAGTTGCTTGTATGTATTCCTGGTATAGCCGGCTTCTTTGATACACAGTCTATACCTGTGCCCTGTAGAAACCTGTCCATGAGGATGGTACAGGAGTAGATAGGCAGAGAGGACATTTTTAACTGTGAGGTTCTTATATGAGGCTGGTGACACAGCCCAGTCAATGTGAGGAGTAAAACAGAAATACTGTGGAGAGAAGTCAAAGTGGAAATTTAGACAGAGAACCCTAGTTGCAATTACAAAGGATGAAAAAGTGCAGAAAGAATGAATGATAAACATCTAGGTTAAATACTGGGGAATACAGATGCAAAGCAAATTAGTTTTTACGGACTGTTCTCAAAGAATGGTCAAGAAAGATTGTTAACTTCAAGAGAGACCAGAATTTCCAACAAATTTGATGTTTTCCTAGCACATTGGGGTTCACCCCACATAGTCACATAGAAGAATTGCCAAAATTATGTTACTATTTTAGTAATTGCAAAAAATAATTGGGCCTTCCTGACCACCGCCCCCATCCTTCTGAAGTCCTCTCCTTCCTCGGCCTCTGAAAGAGTGCATTAGCCTTGATTCTTGTCTCCTCTCTTCTACTGGCTAATCTTCTCAGACCACCCATATTGAGGATCTCAAGAAGAGTATAACCAGCTGTCATATTGCCTTCTAGGTGCACTTGTGGCATCTCAGAATCAACATACCAATTGCTTGTTTTTTTGTTGTTGTTGTTGTTTGTTTGTTTGTTTTGCAAGATGGAGTCTTGCTCTGTCACCCAGGCTGGTGTGCAGTGAAGTGATCTCAGCTCACTGCAACCTCCGCCTCCTAGGTGCAAGCGATTCCCCTGCCTCAGCCTCCCTAGTAGCTGGGATTACAGGCATGCGCCACCATGCCCGCCTAATTTTTGTACTTTTAGTAGAGACGGGGTTTCACCAGGTCATCCAGGCTGCTCTCGAACTCCTGATTTAGTGATCTACCCGCCTCAGCCTCCCAAAGTGCTGGGATTACAGGTGAGAGCCACTGGGCCCGGCCTCAAATGCTCGTTTTCTTTATCTCCACACCAACTTCTTTTCTTGATCTCTGAAGCCATTTAATAGCATCTTTAGCACCCAGGATAGTATTCTCCTGATTACTGTTTGGCTCCTTCATCTTTCTTGCCAGCTGCATCCATGGTCCTCTTCTATCCCTGTGATTGAATTTCAATAACAGTACCATAAACAGAACAGCATTAAAGATAAGTGTTATACTGAGAAATAAAATAAAATCTAAAAGTTCCTATTATTTTCCCTTAGATGTAAATTTCTTATATCTGGGGAATTTCCTGTGTGGGATTTGAATTCTCTTGTTTAGACATATTCGTTTTAATTTGTTTACCTGTATGACAGATGTTCTTACAGATTTCCTTCCAAAAATATTTTGTTGTGCCTCTTTTAGTTGTGTGTATTTGTGTAGTTTCTGCGTGAAAAGCACATTTTTATCCCTCTTGAAATTTGTGTATTTTTCTCCTCACCTAAGTCAATTAGCTACCGCATAAGCAACTGTGAAGGAAAATGGGTGTAGAGCTCCTGATAGGGTCTTGGAGGCACATTAAGTGCTAGATAAGTGCTGTGGGTGGTGAATGTCACCAATGCTGTTGCTATTATGGTAGGTATGCTTTAAGAAAGAGTGATGTTGAGACCAGCCTGACCAACATGGTGAAACTCCGTCTCTACTAAAAATACAAAAAATTAGCCAGATGTGGTGGTGGGCGCCTGTAATCCCAGCTTCTCGGGAGGCTGAGGCAGGAGAATCGCTTGAACCCAGGAGGCAGAGGTTGCAGTGAGCCAAGATCCCACCACTGCACTCCAGCCTGGGCAACAAAAGCAATACTCCATCTCAAAAAAAAAAAAAAAAAAAGGAAAGAAAGAAAGAATGATGTCAATTAAAGGGGGTGGACCTGGGGAAATGATACTAGATGTAGGAATATAGATACCAGTAAGCATAATCACTGACAGTTGGACTTGCAATATAGAAGATGAATTATTATTATTATTACATAACAAAGTCAAGAGCTCATAAGATGAGGACATATGTGACCAAGCAAAATCTGTTTATGCATCGTTAATACCAATGGGACTCATTTCATCATGGTCCAATTATTGATGCAATAAACTGTGGGTCATTTAGAAAATAAATCTAAATTTATCTTAACTTAGTTTAAGAAGACAATGAAGCATGCATGTCATTTAGAAAGGTTTCTGTTAAACATTGTTAATATTTTAAGTTAAAAAGATGCATTTAACTGAAGCAATGTAGAAAATTGAGAGAAAAATTGCTACACAAATATTAATGTCCTAAGAGAATGTCACATCTGAGAAAAGAAAATACAAAACAAAGCCCTTTTACCAGAAGTTGGCAGCCTATATTTCTACCTGCTTTGCCTGACTGCTTGGTATGCAGGTACCAGGTCACGGATGCAAGATGTTGAGGACCATTATACAATGTAAATGTTTATAATATATCACAATTACGAACACACCTGTAGTAAATAACTTTGGGAGGTTCTGCAGCAAAGATGCTGAAAATGCTCAATAGAGAAAGCAAGAAATAAAACGCATTTTAAACCTACCACTGGATGGGATCCAATTTGAGTGTGTCTTAAGTTGAAATAGCTTCTTGCAGGGCTATGAAACAGAAGTTTGTGTTTAATGCATCCTGTGCTCCCCTTCTTCCCCATCACCTCCTTAGCTCTCAATATCAACCAGTCAGGTTGCTCGGGGACTGAATCTATTTCATTGCCTTGTCTTCTTTTCTAAGAAATGCCTTGTGTTTAGCTTTAAAGAAAAACAAATAAATTAGGTATTTACTCAAGAAGTCAAGCAACTATAATTAACAAGTCAAAAATTGTAATTATTGTAAAATCGAAGTCAATAATTTTAGTGAAGTTTTTCAGTATTAAACTGACATATTTATTATCACATCACAAATTAATGTATTTGCTTCTTTAGCTGTATGTTTTGCATCCAGTTTGTCTTAATGATATTCCAAAAAGAAACTTGATCCAAGATGGAACATTCTAACAGATCTGATGGTAGGCTTAACTATGCACTGGAGAAGATTCTCTGGAGACCAACATCATTGGAGATTTGGAATGCATTTTTTAAGACCTAGTCTTGGATTATATAGGATGAATAGAAAACTCCGTATTTAGACAGCAATATTGTATTCTTCCTTCTGTCACCCAACTTCATTCCATTTATGTTATTGAAATGTGTTTCAACCTTATACTAATGGGCAAATTGAGAAAAATTCTTTGAAATGACATCTGTACTACAAGGATATTTTTGAAGAACTGTTTTCATTACAACCTATAATATCCTCCTGGTACCATTAGATATTAGAGAAATTGAACAAACAGAAATGATGAATACAAGGTTTTTTTTTTTTTTTTGGCACAAGTGTTTTGTTTACTTTTCCCTTTCTTCCCTCTATAGACATTTGAAAAGGCTTACAGTCCCAGGGTTAATTACGAGAAAGTTTAGAGCCCAACTGATGGCCCATCGCTGAAAAGGGTGCAGGTTTTCAGGATAATAATTGCCGTAACTAGCGTCATTCCCATTTTTATTATCTCATTCTAAGTCTCATTTTCCATTTGTTCTAATTTCTCTCTCTTATTTTAGATTTTGTTTTTATCTTAGGTGTTTATATGTAACAAGAGACACACAATTATGTAAATATTTTCAATGTATTGAAAAAAGAAAAATATTATCTATCCTTTGCCTTGGCCTATTCCATCTCTTCTCATCAAACGAGCAAGCTGAATAATAAAAGTCACCCCCCAAATTATTAAATTTCATCCTCTGGAGAAATAAGACCAATGGCATAACAAACAAACCATGTTTCTGTTGTGGAAAGTCTCAGAAATAGATGTTGTGAATACCTAAGCCAGAGCTGACGATAGCTAATTAATTTTTTTCCCAGCTTTTTAGTTAACATTTCAAACTGAACTCTCTTATGGGTCAGAAGTGCTCACAAAGGAATCGGCAAATGCTGCACAGCCCAGCAAGGCTGGATGTTGATATACTTTTAAGAGGGAGAGGAAAATCTTTACCCCACGAACTCACTCAGGAAGAAACACAGCCTGAGGCTATATCAACAGGGAACTAATGAGCCACAGGACATAAAGTCTAATAGAGAGCAAAGCATATTAATGAGCTCAAAGCTCTTGTTCACCCTCAACCAATTAATCTGAGAAGACCTACCTAGTGTTCCTATCTCTGATTCCTCTTCAATGCATGATTCACGCTGCTGCCAGAGGGTCACAGCATTCCACATTTCAGTTCACTGTAACCTAGTGAATGAAGTCCAGAACGTTTCATCTAGCATTCAAGGCCATCCATAATTAGATCTAAAGTTACTTTCCTACTTATCAGATATCTCATACCACTTTCAGCCATGCATTTTGCCACATTGTTATCTGAATATATCATTCAATTACAAGTTCTTTTGGATCTTTGGTACAGAATGATCCTTTAGAACAGAATATCCTTTCCATCATGCTCTGCCTGCTCAAACCCCACTCATTCCCCAAGATACAGCTCAAACGTAAAATCCACTGTGAAGACTACCTAAATGTTTTTGTCGGCATCTTCATAGATGCAATTTGTACCCTGCAAAATAACTAAATTTGTAGTGCCTAGCATTTTGATAGATAATAAAATGAAGCTGATAATTTAGTGGGGCTAATGTTAGTGTTTAGTTCAAAGGTTTGCTTGGAGAATTTAAAAAGTATCTAGTACATTTTGTCCTTAGTATTGGATACATATTAATTACTTGGTAAGCATTCATACCAACAAGTGACCATTTATTAACTCTAAATCTGAGCTCTCTAACTCCAAGAGTTATCCTTTACAGGTGAGCATACTTGTGCTGAGGTATGATGCTACTCTAGTACTGCAAACTCTGTGTTCTCAGATTGGTTTATTTACTCTCTTAGCCTCTTAGAGACTCATCCTTAACAAATGAACATATCAGAGCTCTTTTATACTGTGTTTCAGACAATTGCAAGACCTATTCAAGTCTAAAGATGCAGATACAGATGGTCATGGAACAAGGAAAAATTAAGTAGTGCAAAAGCTTGTAGTGCTGTACCAAGCCACAGGGAATGGCTAGCACAAGATGGAATTTATCAGATTTGTTGGGAGTTTTGACTTTACCATATGGGTTCAGACAAAACTGAAATGCAAAACAGAATTCTAAATCATTCAAAACTGTGAATGAAAATTGCCAAGTTTTACTGTCTCAACTATGAAATGGTGAGACCATGAGAAGCAAGAGAGTTGTCTTAGAGGGAGAAATGACTTCATTCTCTTCAACTTATACTTAATGAGCACTTACTATGTATGTGACATCTGCCAAAGATGATGGGAAAAATAAAGATAAAACACAAAGGAAAGCTTTCCTTTTTAGCCATACCAGAAATTAAACTGTGATGAAATGAACTCCACTTTTAGAAGAAGGATATATTTGTGATTTCCTTCCCTCTTCCACTCAATAATTGTGATATCCTGGACAACACAAATCTTGGTTGAACAAACAGTAGTTGTATGTCTTCTTTGAGTCAAGTGTTTTGTGTGTTTAGTGATCCCAAGATTGAATATGATAATTACACCTGAGTTTTGAGAGGAGCTAAACGGCCTGATTATTATGAACATTGTATGAAATATTTTAAAAGCATAGCCATAGACAAATATAGGGTTATATATACTTCTCTTGGTACAATAAAAATATTGAGTGATACCAGATTTCACCCATTGACACAATATGATTTGTTATCACCAATATCTTTGCCTTTTAAAAAAAATTTAGCAAATATTATTATATTATATGTACACATATGTAACATACATACATATATTTTCCAATGTATAGTTATAATGTGATTTATTTCAAATATTTTTACATTTTTTACCATAAAAACAATCATGAAAACTATACAAACTATTTTTATTATAAAAACAATGCCACTTTCTAAATGGCACAACACATAAGTGTATCTCCACATTTTCCCATTTTATTTATGTGTATATTTATAAACTCAGTAAAGTATTTACTTCACAAGTTTTAGATCTATAGAAAAGTCAGTAGAACATGAGAGTTCTCTTACATCCTATGCATGGTCTCCCCTGTTTGTTAACAACTTCAAAATGAATTGGCCACTATTGATAAATGACAATTTACTAAAGTTCATACTCACTTCAAAGCTTCTTAGTTTTTTTTTTTTGTTTTTTTTTTTTTAAGAAATGTTTACTTTGAGGGATAAATAGATCCACATGCAGTTGTACCAAATAATAGAGAGATCTTCTGTACATTTACTCAGTTTCACCCAATGGTAATATCTTGGAAATCTGTAGAATAATATCACAACCTGGATATTAACATTGATGAAATTGAGACACAGAACATTACCATCCATACGAGGATCCTTAACCCTTTGATAGCAATAATCACTTCGATCCCACTCCTACTCTCTCCTTATCACTGACAACCACAAATTTCTTTTCCATTTCTGTAATTTTGGTTATTTCAAGAATCTGATATTAAGTAACATTTGGGGATTAGCTTTTTTTTTCACTCAGAATAATTCTTGGGCTATTCATCCAAGTTACTGCCTGTATCTATAGTTTATACTATGTTACTGCTGAGTAGTGTTTCATGGCAGAGATGCACCACGGTTCATTTATGCATTGAAGAATACCTAGGTTCTTCTCAGTTTGGGTTATGAAAAAGCTACTGTAAATTTATAAGTAGACTTTATGTAAACATAAGTTCTCACCTCTCTAGAATAAATACACAAGAGTTCGATTGCTACGTTTATAGTTAATTTTATGCTTAGTTTTAAGAAACTGCCAAAATTTTTCAGAATGGCTATGCTTATTAACTGAGTGACAAAACAATCTACATATTGACCCCCTGTGACATGCAGTTTACCTATATAACAAACATGCACATGTACTCCTAAACCTAAAATAAAATTTATAATGAAAAAAGAAATTGCCAAACTTTTTCAGAATGGCTATGCCATTTTATACTCTCACAAGCAGTGTATTAATAATCTAATTTCTCTTCATCCTGCAGAGCATTTGGTGTTATCAGTGTTTTTTATCTTAGTCATTCTGATTAGTATATACAGATATCTCATTATACTGTTAACATACATTTCCTTAATGACTCATCGTTTGAACATTTTTATGTGCTTATTTGCTATCTGTACATACTCTCAGGTGAACTGTCTCTTCAAGTTTTTTGCCTATTTTCTAATTAGATTATTTTTGTACTGTTGAGTTTTGAGAGCTCTCTGTATTTTCTAGATTCTGCTCTGTTGTTGGATATGTGGTTTACAATATATTCTTCCATTTTGCACTTTCCTTTTTTAACTGTTTAACAGGGTCTTTTGCAGAGCAAAGGTCTGAAGTTTTATGGAATCGAATTTACCCATTTTTCCTTTCATGTATTGTGCTTTTGGTGTGCAGACTGAGAACGGGCTTAGCTGTGTATCTCAAAGATTTTCTCTTAATTTTTTTCTAAAAGATTCAGTTTTACTTATAAGTTTGTAAAGGTGTGAGATTAGGTTGAGGTTCATTTACCACCCCCTTGTAGTCCAGTTGCTCCCACATCAATTTTGATGAGACTAACTTTACCCCATTAAACTGCTTTTGCACTATTGCAAAATATTAGTTGAGTATATTTGCATAGGTCTGTTTCTGAGTTCTCTGTTTCATTCCATGGGTCTATACGTCTGTTCCTTCACAAATACCACACAATCTTGATTACTGGAACTGTATAAGTTATGAAGTTGAATTGACTGATCCCTCCTACTTTTTTTTTCAAAATTGTATTAATTATTTTAATTCCTGTGTCTTTCCATGCCAATTTTAGAATAATCTTGCCTATGTTTACAAAAAACCCTGCAGGATTTTAAAAGCAATTACTTTAAATTTGTAAATCAGCTTGGTAAGAATTGACATCTTTACTGTTGAGCCTTCCAATCCACGCATATGTGTGGTATGTCTTTTCATTTATTTAGATTTGCCATTCATTTATTTTTGTTCCAAATTAAGTTAATTATTTTTAAATGGGTATATAAAATTGTATGTATTTTTCATGTACAACATAATGTTTTCAAACTTTTATACATTGTGGAATGGTTAAATTAACAAATACATTTATTAACTCACATAGTATTTTTGTGATGAGGATTTAATATCCACTCATCATTTTTTGTAGCTAATAAATGCAAGCTAACAAGTGCAGTTTTGTTATATAGACCATATCTATAGTGTACACATTAATTAGCTCCTCCTTATAAGTGAGAACTTGCAGTATTTGACTTTCTGTTGCTGAGTTATTTCACTTAAGATTAATGGCCGCAGTTCCATCCATGTTGTTGCCAAAGACATGATTTTATTTTTTATGCCTGAGTACTATTCCATGATATATATAAACACCACATTTTGTATCTAGTCATCCATTTATAGACACGTAGGTTGATTCCATATTTGCTACTGTGAATAGTGCTGTGATAAACATACCAGGACAAGTATCTTTTTGATAAATGATTTTTTCCCTTGGGTAGATACCCAGTAGTTCAATTGATAGATAAAATGGCCGTTCTATTTTTAGCTCTTTGAGAAATCTCTATACTGTTTTCCATAGAAGTTGTACAATTCACATTCCCTTCAACAGTGTATAAACATTCTCTTTTCTCCACCCACACCAGTGTGGGTTACTTTTTGACTTTTTAATAGTAACCATCTTGACTACTGTAATATGGTATATCACTGTGGTTTTAATGTGTATTTCTCTGATATTAGTGATGTTGAACGTTTTTTCATGTATTTGTTGGACATTTGTCTATCTAATTTTGAAAATTTTCTGTTCATTTCCTTTGCCCACTTTTTAATTAGGTTATTTGTTTGTTTTTTCTGGTTGAGTTGTTTCAGTTTCTTGTAGATTCACTGGATATACAATTTGCAAGTATTTTCTCCCATTTGACAGAATCTTTTCACTCTGTTTATTATTTCTTTTGCTGTGCAGAAGTTTTTTAGTTTAAGTCCCATTTGCCTACTTTTGTTTTTGTTGCATTTACTTTTGAGGTCTTATTCATGAATTATTTGCCTAAGCCATTTGCTGAGAGGTTTGTCCAAGGTTTTCTTGTAGAATTTTTAGAGTTTTAGATCTTACATTTGTCTTTAATCCATCTTGATTTAATTTTTGTATGGTGAAAGATGGTGATCAAGTTTTATTCTGAATATGGCTGTTCAATTTTACCACCAGTATTGATTGTATAGAGTATCCTTTCCCTAGTATATGTTTCTGTCATATTTGTTGAGGATCAGTTTGGTTGTATGTATGTAGCTTTATTTCTGAAATCTCTATTCTATTCCTTTGATTTATATGTCTATACTTATACCAGTACCGCACTGCTTTGGTGACTATATCCTTGCAGTATAATTTGAAGTAAGTTAATATGATGCCCCCCGCTTTGTTATTTATGTTTAGGACTGTTTAGGCTATTCAGGCTCTTTTTTGGTTACATATGAATTTTACAATAGTTTTTTCCTAATTCTGTGAAAAATAATTTGGATATTTTGATAGATCTGTAGATTGCTTTGGGCAGTATGGTCATTTTTTAATGATATTGATTCTTCCAATTCATGAGCATGGGATTTTTTTCATTTATTTGTGTCCTTGACAATTTCTTTCATCAGTGTTTTGTATTGGATACTGATGTACCTTTCACCTACTTGGTTAAATGTATTCCTAGGTATTTCATTTTTCTACTGTTGTTGTAAATGAGAATTAGTTCTTGATTTGGTTCTCAGCTTGATCCTTATTGGTGTATAGAAATGATACTGATTTTTATACATTGACTTTGTATCCTGAAACTGTATTGAATTCATTCTTTAAATCTAGAAGAGTTTTGGAGGAGTTGTTAGTGTTTTTAGTGTTTTCCAGACATAAGATCATATCATCAGCAAACAGAAAATTGTATTTCCTCTTTCTAATTCGAATGTGTTTTTTTTTTAATTTCTTTCTGTTGCCTGATTACTGTGCCCAGAATTTTCAGTGCTATGTTGAATAGTCGTGGTGAAAGTAGGAATCCTTGTCTTGTTCTGGTTTTTAGGGGAATGCTTTCAATATTTCCACATTCAGAATAGTATTGCTTGTGGGTTCATCACATATATGGCTTTTATTATTTTGAGGTATGCTTCTTCTATGCCTAGTTTCTGGTAGTTTCTATCATGAAGTTATACTGAGTTTTATCTAAGGCTTTGTCTACATCTATTGAGATAATTATATGGTTTTTGTTTTTAATTTTGTTTATAAGGTAAGTATCATTTATTAATTTGTGTATGTTGAACCATCCTTGCATCTCTGGGATAAAACCAACTTGGTTGTGGTGCATTATCTTTTTGATATGTTGTTAGATTCGGTTTGCCAGTATTTCACTGAGGATTTTTGCATCTATATTCATCAGAAATATTGGTCTGTAGTTTTCTTTTTTTGTTGTGTCTTTACCTGCCTTGGTATCAGGGTGATATTGGCTTCAAAGAATGAGTTAGAAAGGTTCCCCACTCCTCAATTTTTTGAAACAGTGTCAGGAAGATTAGTACCAGTTCTTTGTATATCTAGTAAATTCTTCTGGTCTTGGGTTTTTTTTTTGGCGGGGGCGGGGTGGGGAGTTTGAAAATTACTCATTCAGTCTCACTACTCATTATTGGTCCGCTCCAGATACCTGTATCCTCCTGAATCAATATTGGGAGGTTGTATGTTTCCAGGAATTTTTCCATTTCCTCTATGTTTTCCAGTTTATGAGAAAGCATTGATTTTTAAAATTTTATTGAGATTTGTTCTGTGGCCTAATATATAATTTATCTTGCAAAAGGTTCTATGCACTGATGAGAAGAACGTATATTCTGTAGTTGCTGGGTAGAATTTTCTATACATGTCTGTTAGTTTCATTTGGTCTACAGTCCGATTTAAGTTCAGTGTTTCTTTATTGACTTTTCTTTTGTCTTGATGATGTGTCTACTGTTGTGAGTGTAGGATTAAATTTCCCCACTATTATTGTATTTCTGTCCATCTTTTTTCATAGGTCCAGTAGTATTTGTTTTACAAATATAGGTGCTTTGGTGTTAGGTGTGTATATATTTAGAAATGTTATATTTTATTGTTGAATTAATTTTTTATCATTATATAATGATCTCTTTAATCTTTTTTTTTTTTTTTTTTTTACTGTTGTTGATTTAAGATCTGTTTTATCTAAGTATGGTTACTTCTGCTTTTTTTTTCTTTTTGGTTTCCAGTTGCATGGAGTATCTTTTTTCATCTCTTCACTTTCAGTCTATGTATGTTTTTATAGGTGAAGGGGGTTTCTTGTAAGCAGCATAGAGTTGTTTCTTTATCCATTCATACATTCTTTTAGTTGGAAAATTGAATTCAGCTACATTCAGTGTTATTGTTGCTAATAAGGAGTTACTACTGCCATATTGTTACTTGTTTTCTGGTTTTGTAAATTCTTTATTTCTTCCCTTCTTATTGTCTTCCTTTGTGGTTAAGTGACATTTAAAATCATTGCATTTTAATTTTAGTAAATCTATTGTAAATGTTACATTGTGCTTATCATGAGGCTTACAAAAACATCTTATAGACACACTAGCTATTTTAAAGAAATGATGACCTATCTTAGATCACACAGAAATAAATTTTAAAGAACTAAAGAAAGCCCTACATTTTAACTCTATTCCTCTCAACATTTTGAATTTTTAAAAATCTCAGTGTACATAGTTTTATATTTTATATTGCTTATTCCTCTTCACAGGCTGCTCTAGCTATTGTTATTTGTTATTTTTAATAAATTTGTCTTGGGCTTTTTACTATAGTTATGGGTTGATTGCACACCACAATTACAGTATTAGACTACAGTATATTTGTCTGATACTTAATTTTAACAGTGGGTTTTATAGTTTCAAATGTTTTCTTTGTGCACATTAATGTTTTTTTTTTTTTTTCAGATTGAAGAACTCTCTTTAGCATTTCTCATAAGATGAGTTTGATGGTGGTGAATTCTCTCAGCTTTTGTTTGCCTGAGAAAGACTTTATGTCTTCTTCATATTTAAAGGATAACTTTGTGGGATACAGGGTTACTAGATGGGAGTTTTTTCCCCAAGACTTTGAAAATGCTGACATACTTATTCCTTGCCTATATGGTTTCCATTGAGAAGTCTGTTGCCAGACAAATTGAAGCTCTTGTATATGTTATTTGTTTCTTTTATCTTGTTGCTTTTATAATCCTTTCTTTGTCTTTGACCTTTGAGAGTTTGATTATTATAACCCTTTGGGTAGTCTTAACTGGATCAAATCTATTTTGTGTTCTCTAACCTTCTTTTATCTGGATATTCCTATCTTTCTCAAGTTTTGAAAAGTTTTCTGCTGTTATTCTTTGAATAGGCTTCCTACCCCTTGCTCATTCTCAACTTCCTGCTAAAAACCAATATTTAATTTAATCTTTTGAGGTGATTTTCTATATCTTCCAGGGAATCTTCATTACTTCTCAGTCTTTTTATCTTTTTTCTCCTCTGTGTATTTTTAAATTGCCTATCTTTAGGTTCACTTATTCTTTCCTCTGCTTTATCCATTCTATTTAGAGAGCCAGATAAATTTTTCAGTTCATCAAATATATTTCTCACTTCTAAGATTTCTATTTACTTTCATTATTATTTCAATCTTTTTGTTAATTTTTTCTGACACATTTCAGAATTGCTTTTCTGTGTTATCTTGGTGATCACTGAGTTTCCTTAAAGCTGCTATTTTGAATTCCTGGTCAGAGAGCTCACATGTCTCCATCTCTTTACTGTCAGTCAGTGTTTCTTGGTTTCGTCCATTTGGAGAGGTCATGGTTCCCTGTTTGCTGTTGTTTCTTGTGGATATGCATCTATGTTTTTGTATTGAGGTATTATTTATTCCAGTGTTTTCTGTTTGGCATGTTTTACTTTTTGTTGCATATGTTTGCTTAGAGATTCTTAATATACCAGTTAGATTTATCCCCTCCTTTGTGGTGCTAGATGGTGCCTTAAGCCCAGGTTTGCTTCAACTCTAGTAAACTATCAGAGCACTTCCCATGCCAAATGAAAGGAGGTCCCAAAGGGGATATCCAGGCAGAGTGGTAAGGCTTGCTAAAGGTTTCTACCCAGAGGACCTGTGGAACCTGCCATGTACAGTGTGATGCTGCTGAACAGCAACTCTAATTTTGGCATTGCCTTCCCCCAAGTTATAGAGTAGTTTCCACCATTGAGGATGGTAGTCTCACTTTCCCCTTTGTCTCTGGCTGTCCTTAGGGTACTTCTTTCAGTGCTCATTATGTTTTCCTTAGATTGAGGCAGGGACAAGCCTCTGGCCTGGTGAATTCAAGATGGTAGGAAAATTGGTTGCCCACTTCAATCTCAAAGGCCACACAGATATGGATGTCTAGTTCTCTCACCTTCTGCTCAGAGTTTTCCATTTTTCTGTGTTCTTGAGAATTAACTATTTAAGTTCCAGGATATTGCTGGTAATAATCGTAGTGCTGTATATATGTCTTGTTTTGTTATGGTTTTGTAGGGTTGAGGGGAAAGTGAAACCAGCTTGCTTTATGCTGCTATTTTGGAATCAGAAAACTTGACCATTTATTTTTAATGTAATTATTGACATGACAAAGCATAAGTTTGCCATTTTCTTTTGATTGTGACTATTCTCACTGTGTAGTTTTTTTTCTTCTCTGCCTACTCATGGGTTACTTTAACAATTTTTAGAAATTTATTTGTTATATTTAAAGTGATTTTGAGTGTGTCTCTTTATAGCTTTTAAACTGTTGTAGGTATTATTTTACTAGTTCATAAGTCATCACAATATGCCACAATGTCAGTTGTTGATGTCATAAATTTACAGACTCAAGTACTGCATGAAACTTGCTTCCCATTTTATCATTTTATCATTATCTTTAATAATGTAATTGTCTTGAATATTTTTATATAAGCATTTAGAACCACATCAGACAGTGCTATAATTTTTGTTTCAAATGTCAAACATAATTTAGGAAACTCAACAGGGGAAGAAAATGCCTTATGATTACCACATTTTTACTTTTTCCATTATTCTTTCTTTTTTATTCTAATGTTTCTAAAAATTGTTTAATTTCCTTTAGATAACTTCCTTTAGCAATTTTCTAAGGGTAGGCCTACTGGTAACAAATATTTTTGGTTTTCTTTCATCTGACAGATAATATCTTTATTTTCCTTCCATTCCTGAAGAATATTTTGCCACGTAATACAATTCTGGAATGACAGTTCTATTTGTTCAGTACTTGAAAAATGTCATTATTTCTTATTTGGCCCATAGTTTCTTATAAGAAATTCACTTCCATTTTAATTGATTTTATCCAATAAATAAGGTATCATTTCTCTCTCAACACTTTTAAGTCTTTTTCTTTTGTCTTTATTTTTTTTAAATTTGATTAGACTGTGTTTGGGGGTAGATTTATTTAGACTTATTCTGTTTGGATTTTTATCCTATTCTTGACTGGTATAGTTTTGCATATTTTGCCAGATTTGGAAAGTTTTAGCTATTGTTTCTTTGAGCACTTTTTTAGTACCTCCCAATTTCTTCTGTTTTTCTGCAATTGCGATTACATGGATGCTAGATGTTTTGTTTTAGTCCCACAGATCCCTGAGGCTCTGTTTATTTCTGTATTCTTTTAACTCTCTTTTGTCTCATTTGTTCATATTGGGTCATTTCTATTGTTCTATTGTCAAGTTCACCCATTTTTACCTTGGTCTCCTCCATTCTGTGTTTCAGTCTATTCACTGAGTATTTTATTTTAGTTACTAATTTTTTTAGTCATAAATTTCCATTTTTTCTTTCTATTTTCTATTTTTTTATTATTTATTATTTTTTATTTTTTTAGACGTAGTCTCACTCTGTCACCAGGCTGGAGTGGAGTGGCACAATCTCAGCTCACTGCAACCTCCGCCTCCCGGGTTCAAGCGATTCTCCTGCCTCAGCCTCCCAAATAGCTAGGATTGCAGGTGCACACCACCACACCCAGCTAATTTTTGTAGTTTTGGTAGAGATGGGGTTTCACCATATTGGCCAGGATGGTCTTGATCTCTAGACCTTGTGATCTGCCCACTTCGGCCTCCCAAAGTGCTGGGATTACAGGCATGAGCCACTGCACCCGGCCTCTATTTTCGATTTCTTTAAATTAAGAATTTCTATTTCTTGCTGTGACTTTTGATTTCTTACTTGTTTCAAACATGTTCACTATTACTTGTTGAAATGTTTTTATTATAGCTGCTTTAAAATAATTATCAGATAATTCTTATATCTCTATCACCTCAGTATTGTGATCTATTGGTTGTCTTTTTTTTATTCAATTTGAGAAGTTTCAGACTTTTAGAAATACAAGTAATTTTTTTTTTAATTGTAACCCAGACATCTTCAGTGAGTATTATGTTATAAGACTCTGGATCTTAATTAAGTTTTTGTTTCAGCTAGCTTCCTCTGAACTGTTCTGGGATGAGAAGGAAGTGACAGTGCTTCTCACTGTCAGGTGCATGCGGACATCCAAGTTCCCCACTTGTCCTCCATTTATACCTGAAGGGGGATCTCCTTATTACTTCTAGAGAGGAGTGGGAATTCTGCATCCTTGCTAGGTCCCCACTGATAATTTCTTGGTTGGGTAACGTAGGTGTGCCTTGTTAACTTCTCCTTTATTTATATATACCAAGGTTGTAGAAGTAGTCTTCCTATTGCTGAACCATGGTGACATTCCTAATTATCCCTTAGGTTTCTTATGACACCAACTCAATATGGGGAGAGGGGAATGAACAACCCATTACTGCAAAGCAGGGATAAAAGTTCAGGCTCCCCATCTGGTCTCACTGTAAAGGAGAGGAGGAGGGTTTAATTATTGTCAGTAGGAATAAAAGTTACAGCTTCTGACTTGGCCTACTCTAGCAGTACTCCATCACTGGAGTCAAAGTACCTTATTACAACCAGGTAAAAGTTGAAGTCTAGGCTCTCCATTTGGCCTTTAATAGTGGGGCAAGCATGAGGTTATAGCTTTTTCTAGAGCATGTGGCTAAAAGAGAATAATTATTGTCTAAAAGTTTTTTGTCTTGCTAAGCTACCCATTCCCTTGTTTTTGAGCTATGAAAAGCAGACTCTTGTTGTTGTTTGTTTTTGTCTGTGCCTGTTGGCATTTCTGGATTGCTGGTTTCTTCAACTCCAAGTCTGAGGCATATGAGACAGGAAGAAAGCCTAGACAATTCACCGCTCTACCATTTTTTGGGTCCTGAGTTTCCTAGTCAGTATGCTTTCATTTAGACAATTTTCAGAGTCTTGTGTTTGTTTTCTGTATAATATCCAGGATTTTAATTTGTACTTAGCAAGACAAGTAGGGACAAACACATCTACACCATTTTTCTGGAAGTGGAAATGCTCTAATTTTATTTTTAATGTTGCTGCTCTGAATTGCATTTCCAATTATTCCAATTATACTAGGCTGTAGAAAAATTCAGAATAACAATTTATTTTTGTACCAGACAGTCCTGGATTTTGAGTACAATAATAGATTTTTTGTTTCCCTCTCTGTAGAATAAGATTAAAAACATCTACCTGGCTGGATTCTATTGGACATCAAATAAAAATATAAATAAAGCATTTGGCAGAGTGCCTCACACATAGCCACTCAAAAATAATCCAAACTTGAACTTTTTAAAATTAAAAGCCATGTGATTTTAAACTCCATATTTAAAAAAATGCAAGAAAAAGCTACCATTTAAACCACAAAACTGTTCTTGGTTTAGAATAGAAATTCATGGAATTTATATTGGTACCTCTAGCTAGAACTTGAGACAAGGATTATCAGCAGAATGTTAGAGATAAATATCAACTATAATTATACATTTTGGAGTCCACTGAAATTTCTAGTCTGAGGATCAGAGTGAATGAAGCAAAACAGCTCATATGTTTAGTCTTGTGATAAATGACTTCATCCTGAAAGGATCCCACTACTTTATTCAAAGTATATTATTCCTTTGGATACTTTCCACTGGATATGTTACTTGTTTCCCAGAACCAGTAAAATTCCTTCCTGCTTTCTCTTTCAGAGAAGAAAACTGAGATGCAAAACAACTAGCCTATGGGTCATTCAAGCAAGAGGGCAGAGCAGCTTTAATTACGTCTTCTTAAACTACATTTAAGGAGAGGGCAGAAGGGGCTGGGACTGTTCAATCTACACCTTGCCCATTCTACAGCTAGTCATCAGACCAGCAGCAATGGCATTATGTGAGACCTTGTTAAAAATTCGGGTACTCAATTCCGACCCAAGACTTACTGAATGGGAATCTGCATTATTTTGATAATTTTTCATGTTATCTGTCTGCATATTATCACCTAGGAAGAACAGTTTTAGGAATCCCTAACCGCCTTATGTGATTTTCATGATTTAGCCTACCTAAAAAATATAAACTAACCCACAAAATGTAGTTCAATTGCTATTTTTTTCACGTAAGAATTTGGAAATTCACAAACATCAGACATCAAATTTTACTCTATAGAACAATAGGAGAAGGGGTGGTTCAGATACTACACTACACAGATAAGTATTTCATGGACTTACTCCAATATTAGCTATGATATTTATCTTACTTATAATTATGGGTATAGCTAATTATAACATTGTTTATCCAAGTTGACTAATTGGTAATGGAAGAATTTCATGACTAGCCAGCTATTCTACTTTGCAGGTATTCTCTAAGCATGCACTGTCTCTTTTTCACAAACCAGCCAAGGGTCTTTTCTTTTAAGAACAGGGTAAAGAGGATACTGATAAAGTTACAAAAATGGGGAGGAAAGACTGGTTTAAAGATTAAAAGTTTGGACTATTTTGATGCAGGGCAGACAGGCCCCAGAACTGGGGCTTACCCTGGGACGATTCTTGGCTTCTCCCCAGAAGGAATTCAAGCATGAGCCAGTGGTGTTAGACAGCAACTTTTACTGAAGCGGCAGTGTACAGCAGCAACAAAAGTACTGATCTTGGAGGAGCAGGGCTACGCCCATAGACAATGTGCCCAGAGTGGCAGCTCAAAGACAGTTCTGCAGTCATATTTATACCCACTTTTGATTATATCAAATTTAAAGAGCAGATTTTGTAGAAATTTCTAGAAAAAGGATTGTAACTTCTGGGTTGCCAGGTCATTGCCATGGAAAGGGGCAGTAACTTCTAGATTGCCATGGCAATGGTAAACTGACATGGCACACTGGTGGGTGTGTTTTATGGAAAGGTGTTTCCACTTTGTTTCTGTTTTAGCTAGTCCTCAATTTGGACTCAAATAGAATTGAGCTTGGTAGGTTAAACTGGGGTATTAGAATTCAAAGAATCATAGACATAGAAATTGTCAAGCTTGAAGGAAGTTTAGCATATATTTGCTTTAAGACCCTCAGATGAACAAAGTAACCTGGAGTGATCAAGTGCCTTGCCTAAAGATACAAAATCCATAAATAGCAAATTTGCCTCAACTTTCTAGACCACCAGTCCTGTTATTATGAAAACTATCCATTTCTCTTAACTGCTCATTTAATCTGAGTATAAGTGAGAAAATATGATATAACAAATGGATAGCTGCAGCAATTCGACACAAAATAGTGCTCAGCATTTTTTTTCTTTCTTCATTGCCTGATTTTTACCCAGTTTGTCATTGTCTTTGTCAATTTTTCATTTTATGTTTTGATTTCCTTTGTTTTTCCATCCGGCTCTCTTCCTGGATATCCATTTCATTTCTTTAAAAACTTCTTTAAAATTTTGTGTACTAGTTTTGGATGAAATAACTATCTCAGTCAAAAAGACAAGCCATAGCAATTACTTTCAATTTTCAAAAGTGTTAACAAATTTAGTTGATCCTACCGCATTAAATTTTGGCTAAAGGTCAGGTACTGTGCAATGTGTGTTACATGTATTATCTCATTTGATCCCCCAGCTCCATGCTGACAGGTAAGGAAACTGAAGTTCAGACAAGTAAAAATTACATGACGTTGGGCTAGTTACTTAAGTAGGGGATCGGAAATGAAACCAGATCTTAATACACCAGTAAGTATATTCTATGGTGACACAAATAATACTTTATAATTTCCCATAGAAAAAGTATGCTTTAGCAAGCTTCCTCTTTTGTAGGCCTTTGCAGGTTAGTTATTAATTCATAAATGGATAAGGAAAACAATGATGGTAAATTGGGTTATCTCCACTCTCTGACCATTTTCATCTTATTAAAATTTTAAACATATTAATTACTAATTAGAGAAATCTAGATGATAATCACAGTGATTAAATTTACCCAATATCATTTATTGGAGGAGAGATTTGTCAGTTGGAAATTATAATTAACGCATCAGAAATGTTCTGTGGTTGTTAAAAAAAAAAAGTACTCAGGAGTTATGCTAAAAAAAGCAGTTGATGTTCTATGGTTACTAAATATACTGACACAAGGCAAAACAGCCTCCCTGTAGGTATCCTGCTTGCAGCTCTAAAGCAGGAATTCTTAGTAAAAAGATAATACTAGAAAGATCTTTGGATATTTTAACATCTTAATGTACGTTGGAAGGTCTGTTGGTGTTGGGTTTTCTAATGCCTAATTAGAATTACAAATTAATTTTCAAAAAATTTTAGTGCATGTTTTTGTGTATTTACAGAAGAGATTTACTACTTCTATAGCAAGGTTTTTGTTTTTCTTTTATCATCTCATCTCCCTGTTTCTATAACATGCAAATACCACAGACAGTCACAGAATAATGAATTTTATTACAAATGTTATAGAGCAAAGAAATGTTAGATTTTTAAATTTCAATGTTCATTGAGAACATACGTGTCAAAAATTTAGATGTGCATATTAGCAAGAGTACTGCATCTATTAGGAAATTTATATATATATATATATATACATATATATACATATATACATATATACATATATATATACATATATATATATACATATATACATATATACATATATATATATATACATAATTATAAGATCCATGATCTTATAAAGGCTAACGGAAACTGATTTTATATATATATATACACGTGTATATATATGTATATATATATACACGTGTATATATATATGTATATATATACACGTGTATATATATATGTATATATATACACGTGTATATATATGTATATATATACACGTGTATATATATACATATATATACATATATATGTGTATATATATATATATAAAATCAGTTTCCGTTAGCCTTTATAAGATCATGGAAGGAAGTTTAAACTTTCCCTCTGAAGGTTCAATAATTGAGTCATCCTGGTAAAGTAATTTGACAATAAATAGATTAACAGAAAAAAGAGGCATACAAATTTATTAACATACATAAGCACAGCAAAAACACAAAATGTGAGACTTGAGGAAGACCCACATGACTAAAGTTTTTCTTTCGCAGAGAAAGAAATACATGCTTGGAGCATGGTGAAAGGTCATGGGAGTGAGAGGGGAGGAAAGGCATGGTGAGCAAAGGCTCACAGGTAGTGGACCTCTGAAAGAATAGATGGTAGCCTACGAAAGTGTCTCTGTCAGACCTTTAAAAGCGTTAGACTTTTATTCTCCTTGCTCTGTGAGTTGATCTTTCCTAGATCTGAATAAGGTAGATACAAGGGCCCCAGAGTAAACCTCTTTGCATTCATTTTTTACTTCATTAATACAGATTTCCTCTACAGATGCAAATCTCCCCTATAAAGGACAGCTTGTCAGAGCTATTCCAGTATCTGCAGCCCTCTGAATAGCCATCTCAAAATATGCTAAAGAAGTATATTTTCAGGTAGTATATTTTGGTTTCCTTGAGTCACCTATATAGTACTAAGCAAATTGCATGAGCTTATAATAGATCTAAATCTAGATGTGTAAAAATCTCAAATATTTTATTGGCTTGACTTTCTTGATTCCTGCAAAATATTTTTACCAGAATAATAATTTTTAATTAAGGAAAACCAAAATCATCTTTAAAAATAAAAATTTAATCATATAAAAACGAATAAGAAATATGTGTGTTTTTAATGTCTAGGTACAAGGGATATAATAGATTATTTTGCACTGTTCCCTGATGTTTCTATCCCAAGTTAAAATAGTAACAGTCCATACCTTTTTGACACTATAGGACTCCTCTCCAAAAACACTGCAGTTCCCCAGCAGTGATACTTAAAGGTACTCTCTAAATAGTGGCTTTTCATTATAAATTTTGCATGTAAACACTTTGCATGTTCTGATTTAATGAGGCCATTCAATGCTTTCTTAATACCACTGAAATTTTCTCCCTCAGGACTCATTTCATTGCTCAGAAGTTATCTTTGATTCATTTGCATTTACTAATTCAGGAAACCATGTGGACATTTTCCAAGCCCTTCCTAAATTCCTAATAGTAAGCCCTCAGGATACAGCAATAAACAAGACAAATGTGGTCCTTGTCTTCACTGAGCTTGTAATCCACTGACTAAAACAGATTTTTGAGAAAGTAATTAAAAGAACAGTGAAGTTAACAAAAAAGTTAAAGGCATAATGCAAATATTTTAATTTTATATAATACAAAATTATGTTAAAATTTCACATTTTTTAATTAATAATTGAATCAGAAATATATTGAAATTGATTCAAATGATAATTTAATTTAGAGAGATTTATGCCATCTTCCTGATAAAATTTATTCCATTACTATGAATAGTAATAATTTGCATTGTTCTAAAGAGAAAGTGTTTACATTACTATGAGTTTTCTTCAAGTTAACTTCTATCTCTAAATAGTTGTAATATAGCCTAGTCAGTCAGAGAATTAAAAACATGCCTGTAGAATCGGATAATCCCATAAATCATCAGATAATATCCAGCATTCTTCCAAATGAACACCCAGTAATCACCTTTGCCCACTTCCAAATCTTTGACAATTTGTCCTGGTAGTTTAAAAGGGGTAAGCTGGAGATAAGATTGATAATATTGGGACTAAGAGATAACACGGCCTCACAAACCTTAAATGAAAGACACTCTATGAGCATTGAATGAGTAATAGAATCTCGAAAGGAGAGGGACAAGGCTCATTACAAAATTAGAAATTCTATCATTTTTAGAATATGTCTCACTGTCTTTTATTTCTAAGAAAGGTATTGACAAAACCTTTGGCTTCCTGTGATTCAGTATACCAACCCATAACTTTATGCCAATAATCCTTAAAAATTAATATGGAGCTACTCACTTTTCAAAAGCAAACTGTGTGATTGAGGATTATATGTGTCAATGTGCCTGGGCCATGGAGTGCCAAGATATTTGGGCAAACATTATTCTGGAGGTTTCAGGATGACTTTGACATTTAAATTGACAGGCTGAGTAAAGCCAGTCACCCTTCCTAATGTGGATGGGAATCATTCAATCAGTTGAAGGCCTAGGTAGAACATAAGGCTGAGCTTTTCCTAAATAAGAAATCATTTCCTCCTCCTGTATGACTGCCTTGAGCTGAAACATATGTGTTTTCCTGTGTTTGAACTTGAACTGAAACATTGGCTCTTTCTGGGTCTTGAGCCTGCTAGTCTTCAAACTAAAACCACACCATCAGCTCCCCTGGTTCTCAAGCCATCAGATTAGAACTGGAACAACACCAGTGGTTCTCCTGTGTCTCCAACTTGCTGACTGCAGATATTGGGACTTGTCAGTTTCTGTAATCACATGAGCAAATTTCCTGTAATAAATCTGTTTTTATTTGGTTACTGTTTCTCTGGAGAACTCTGATAAATACCCTGTGTGTTTATAAGTTCAAGATTTAAATATCCGTTCATCAACATTTATGATTTTATTACACTTTTTGATTCCATTTAGTAGCCTCTTATCAAAGATTGAAACTCCAATTCCACCTCCAGGAGGTGACATTCATATTTTTTTTCTGTGAATATGTGTGTATTTTTAAAATGTGCACTTATGCTTGTTTATCTTATATGAAAAAAAGTGTGCAACGTCATACATTTAAAATTGCTTGAAAATATGGAGAACATGGAGCCATTAAAGTAATTTGTGTACTATAGTCTATTCAATCACCCTTCAATTGGATTTTTGTTTTTTTAAAGTTGTAAACTATTAAAATAATACTGTAATAAGTATCCTCATATATACATGTTTGTTCAGAAATCTAATAATATCATCTGTCAATCTATTTCATAGATAACTAAAATTAAAATAATGTAGATTTTTAAGTGATGTGAAGTGTCATCTTGTCAGGGATGCAATTTTGATTGCTCTTTCCTTCCTTCCCTTTTACCCTCACTTTTCCCAACACTAATCAAATTAGATTTTTATTTTTTAAAAATCTCTTTTTTATTAAAAAAAGAGAATTTTTTAAAACATAAACATACAGAATTTTTTTAAAACATAAAACATATAGAATTTTATTTAAAAACTTAATAAAAAAGAGAGATGTTATTAATATCATTATTAATTCTTATTAATTTCATTATTTACTTTATCAATATTATTTACCATGATTGTTAATTAATATCATTTTTAGGGCCAAGTAGGGAAAATGCCCTTTGGGAGAACATTCCTTGTCCTTTCTCCTATTGGTGAGTTGAAAGGAAAATCATGAAGAATAATGAATTTCAATAATTTAGAAGAATCTAGAAGTCAGAAAAATATGCTTCTGAATTCAAAATGAAAGGGGTGCATAGCCAGTAGATACACTTTGCTAGAAACAGGAAGTCCCTTTAAACATTTCATGCCACAGAAGAAGGAATACAGATAATTTTCTTATACTCTTTTGAATGATGTTTTAAATTAAAGGGTAGGTTGAGAACTTTGGAAGATAGAGGGATAAGAAAAATAAGTGGAACAGGAAAGGCATTAGTAAAAACAGAAAAATATGAACACAAAAGAATTCATTTAGCTCACCACTTCTCTTGAATGTGACTAACCTACTTGAAAAATATTAATACCTTTACTTTTTGGAAACTATTAGTCTTCATAAACTACCCCAAAGCCACTAAAATGAAAAAACAATGTACGCTTATTGAAATGAAGACTTATGATTCTTCTGGTGACTCCACACCTCCAACCTGTTCTAAAAAATGCAAAATAGAACAGGTAGATAAAGAGGATGAAATTACTGAAAAGAATGCAAAAAAAAAAAGCCAAGATTAAAGTTAAAGCTGAAGAAGAGGAATAAGAAGAAAAAGTGGCAGAAGAAGAAACACCTGTGAAGAAGAAGAAGAAAAAAAGGTAAAAAGAAACACATTAAGGAAGAACCACTTTCTGAGGAAGAACCATGTACCAGCACAACAATTCCTAGTCCAGAGAAAAAGAAGAAAAAGAAAAAAAAAGAGAGATCACAAGAACTAACAGAAAGGAATTACGATTATATCACCTGGACGCATCATGCTTAAGATTCAACTGGGAGCGTACCAGGGATGCTCTCTAACCTAATCAAGGGAAGGTTCATTAAAACAAAGTGATTTATCATCTATAACGTCAAACCTATTTGTGTCTTGACATCAACTCTGTTAACTTATGTCATCATTTCTTAGAGTCTTTAATGTACAAATAAAATTTTCTTTGTATTAAAAAAAACTCAATCATTTGAGTACTAACTCTGGGATGCATGCAGCAAAGAAAGGAACAAGCTGTCCATCACAGACATAATTTTTAAAAGTATTTTGAAACAGCAAAGCAAATCAATATTTGTCATAGGCAGAGCATGACTTTAGTTTATTTTATGGAAGTGTTGAAACGGGGAATGTGTTTGTTTAATCATTTAATATGTAGGACACCTGAAATTTATGCAGCCAGCAATATACATGTTCTATTAAGTTATAAATTAAAATAATGGACTCTAAAAATGTACGCTTTCCAGATGGTTAAAGTTGATACTAAATTTTAATTTAGCTCATGTCAACCATCCTACCTTCACTTTTTAAACCTTTTCTCCATCATATGAACTCATTGAGTTGGATTATAACAGCACAATTAATTTGTGTGTGGGAGTAATTAATACATCATACTCTATCTATATCTAAAAATGATTTGACATGACTTACACTATTAAAAAAGGGAATTAGGCCAAATAAGAGGAGGATAATTGTCTTGGGACCAGAAATATAGTATTTATTACATTAATTACTTATTTTGTACTTCCTAGAAACCAAAATCAAAAGGAAAATTTGTGTGCTATGGTTTGTATATGATTGTTTTGTCCCCACCGAAAGTTGTTGAAATTTGATCTTCAATTGGCAGTGATGGGAAATAAGGCCTAGTGGAAGGTGTTTAAGTCATAGGTGTTGAGCCCTCACGAATGTCTTGGTGCTGTTCCTATGGTATTGGGTTCTCACTCTGGGGAGATGGGATTAGTTCTCTGAAAATGAATTAACTCCAGTGAGAGTAGGTTATTATAAAGGGAGTTTCTTCCTTCTGTTTGGTCTCTCCTCCCACATGGATACTTTCTTTTTGACCCTCTCTGCCATGTTTTTATCTAGCACATGGCCCTCACCAGAAGCCCAGCAGATGCCTGTGGAATGTTTCTCATTCTTTCCAGCCAGCAGAATCATGAGCTAAATAAACCTCTTTTCTTCATAAATCACTCAATCTCAGCAGGTAGTTTCTTACAGCAACACAAAATGGACAAAGACAATGGGTCTTTTTATTTTATTTTTTTAAATCTCCTGTTATATCAGGATATTTTAAGATTTTAATATATCAGAATCTTTTAATATATCAGGATATTTTAATATATCAAGATTTAATATCCTGATATTATTTATAAAAAAACAGACCCATCAAAAAAGAAAATGAGATGTGTCTCATATATACAATATACATATAGTTTTTTCATTGACACATTGTAATTGTACATATGTATGGGGTAGAATTTGAGGTTTTAATACATATATATTATATAATAATCAAATTAGGATAGTTAGCATATCCATCACCCCATGCATTTATCATTTCTTTTGTGGTAAGAATATTAAAAAGCCTCTCTTTTCAGGTAAACACTATTCTACTCTCTGCTTCTATGACATCAACTGTTTTTGGCTTTTTTGTTTGTTTCATTTATTTTAGCTTCCACATATGAGTGAGATCATACAGTATGTATATTCCTATTTCTGGTTCATTTCTTGTAACATGATGTTTTCCACGTTCAAACATGTTGCTAGAAATGACAAATTTCACTCATTTTATGGTGGAATAGTGTTCCATTGTGAATATAGATCATATTTTCTTTCTTTGTTCATCCTTTGTTGTGCAGTGAGGTTGCTTCCATATCTTGGTTATTGTGCATAGTGCTACAATAAACGTGAGAGTGCTGATATCTCTTTTACATATTTTATTTCCTTTTAGTGTATACCCAGTAATAGGATTCCTGGATCATATGGTAGTTCTATTTCTGATGTTTTGAGAAGCCTCCACGCTGTTTTTCATAATGAATCTACTAATCTACAACCTCAGTATGTTGTACACAGTATAGAAGTGTTCCCTTTTTCAATATCGTCATCTACATTTATTTTCTTTTATCTTCTTTATAATAGCAATTATAATGGAGTGAGATGGTATCTCATTGTGGTATTGATTTGCATTTCCTTTATGATTAGTAATGTCAAGCACTTTTTCATATTCTTATCGGCCATTTTTATGTCTTCTGAGAAGTTTCTTTTCAGATATTTTACCCATTTTTAAATAGGATTATTTTGTTTTTGCCATCTGGTTATTTAAGTTTCTTCTATTTTCTGGCTATTAACCCCTTGTCAGATGCATGATTTGCAAATATTTTCTCCCATTTTGTAGGCTGTCTTTTCATTCTGTTAATTGTTTTCTCTGGTGTCATAGCATTTTAGTTTGATCCCATTTGTCTATTTTTGCTTTCATGTCTGTGCTTCTGAGATCTTATATTAAAAAAATTTGCCCAGCCCAATTTTATGAAACATTTTCTTTTTTTTCTAGTAGTTTCATAATTTTGAGTTTACATTTAACTATTTAATTCACTTTCAGTTGGTATGTGCATATGCTGAGAGGTAGAAACCTAGTTTCTTCCACATCTTCTACATGTGTATATTTAATTTTATAAGCACCATTTATAGAAAAGACTGCATTTTCCCAATGTGTGTTTTTGGTGCCTTTGGCAAAATCAGTTGGCTATAGGTACATGATTTTATTTCTGTGCATTCTATTCTATTCCATTGTTCTATGTGTCTGTTTTTATGTCATTACCATGTGATGCCTCTAGCTTTGTTCTTTTTGCTCAGACTTACCTTGGCCACTTGGGGTCTTTTGTGGTTCCATGTGACTTTTAGGATTTTAAAAAAATTTCTGTGAATTTTAGGTGTGTTGAGAGGGATTGCATTACATCTCTGGATGGCTTTGGATAATATGACCATTTTAACAATATTAGTTTTTCCAATCCAAGAACACTGGATGTCTTTCATTTTATTTGTATGCCCCTCAATGTCTTTCATCAATGTATTATAATTTTTGGTATAGGAATCCTTTATCTTCTTTAAGTTTATTCCTAGATATCTTTTTTTTGTAGCTATTGTAACATTCTTTTATGAGTCACTGTTAGTGGTACCAATTTGCATTTCCTTTATGATTAGTGATGTTAAGCATTTTTTCAAATACTTGTTGGCCATTTGTATGTCTTCTTCTAAGAAATGTCTTTTCAGATATATTGTCCATTTTTTTAAAAAGAGCATTTTGTTGAGTTAAGTTTCTTCTATTTTCTGTTAACCCCTTGCCAAATGCATGCAGATAGTGTGATGCCTCCAGCTGTCTTTCATCCATCGATAAATGAATGTTACAGTTTCCACAAAATTTTGTATGTTTTTTGTATTCTGTAAATTTATTGAATTTTTTATTAGTTTGAACTGTTTTTTGGTAGAATCTTTAGGGTTTTCTGTATAAAAGATTATGCCATCAGCAAAGAGGAACAATTTGACTTCTTTTTTCAAATTTGGATCTTTTTATTCTTTTCCCTTGCCTGATTGTTCTGGTTAAGACTTCCAATTCTATGTTAAATAAGGGTGGTAAAAGTGAACAGCTGTGTTTTTTCCAGATCTTAGAGAAAAAGATTTCAAATATTTACTATTTGGTATAATGTTAACTATGGGTTTGTGATCAGAGACCACTATGAAAAACTGTGTTCACAAACTAGAAAACCTAGAGGAAATGAATAAATTCCTAGAAACATTCACTCTTTCAAGCTTAAATCAGGAAGAAATTGAAATCCAGAACAGAAAATCAAAAGTAGTGAGACAAGATTGAATAAGTAATTTTTAAATTTAAAAAATTTTTTTTAAATTTTTTTTTAATTAATTAAAATTTTTTTAAAAATTATTCCCAACAAGAAATGCCCAAGATCAGATGGATTCACAGCTGAATTCTACCAAAAATACATAGAAGAATGAATACCAATTCTCCTAAAACTATTTCAGGAAATTGAAGAGGAGGTAATTCTCTGTCATTTATTCTATGAGGCCAGTATCACCCAGATACCAAAACCAGACAAGGACACAATGAAAAAAGAAAATGACACACCAGTGTCCTCAACATAGATACAAAAATCCTCAGTAAAATACTAGCAAATCACATCCAACAGGACATAGAAAAGAGCATACCATGATCAAGTGGATTTTATACCAGGGATGCAAGGATGGTTCAGCATACACAAATCAATAAATTCCATACATCACATGAACAGAATCAAGAACAAAAACCATATGATTACCTCAATAGAGGTAGAAAAAGCATTCAATAAAATTCAGCACTGCTTTATGATAATAAACCTCAGCAAACTAGATATAGAAGGAACATATTTCAAAATAATGAAAGCCACATATGACAAACCCACAGCCAACATTATACTGAATGGGGAAAAGTTGAAAGCATTTCCTCTAAGTACTGAAACAAGACCACTTTCACAACTTCTATTCAAAATAGTACAGGAAGTCTTAGAGCAACCAGGTGAGAGAAAGAAAGGGCATCCAAATTGGAAAAGAGACAAATTGTCACTGTTTGCTTATGATATGATCTTATATCTAAATAAACCTAGATACTCAACAAAAAACTCTTAAATTTAATAAATGAATTTAATAAAGTTGCAGGTTACTAAATCAATGTACAAAAATTAGTAGCATTTATATTAACCAATAACAATCTGAGAAAAAAATCAGAAGGCAATCTCATTTACAATAGCTACAAACAAATAAAAAGAATACCTAGGAATAAATTTAAACAAGGAAGTGAAATATCTCTACAGGGAACATATCTCTACATGGATGTCAGAAATTGAAAAGGACATAAACAATTGGAAAAACATTTCATGTTTATGGGTCAGAAGAATTAACATCATTAAAATTAAAATAACTTCACTTCTCAAGGCAAACTACAGATTCAATGCAATCCCTATCAAAATACCAACATCAGTTTTCACAGAAATAGAAAAAACAATTCTAAAATTTATGTAGAACCAAAAAAATTGTCTAAAAAGCCAAAGCAATCCTAAGCACAAAGAACTAAACTGGAGGTATCATACTACCTGACTTCAAATTGTACTACAAAGTTACAGGAACCAAAACAGCATTGTACTGGTATAAAAATAGATATACAGATCAATGGAACAGAATAGAAAAATCAGAAATAAAATCATATTTCTAGCTAACTGACCTCTGACAAAGCCGACCAGAACATACATTGAGGAAAGAACAGTCACTTTAATAAATGCTGCTGGGAAAATTGGATTGTCATATAGAGAAGAATAAAACTGGATCCCTATCACTCCCCATATACAAAAATAAAGATGGATTAAAGACAAACATAAAACCCAAAACTATAAAAACACTAAAAGAAAACCTATGGAAATTTCTTCTGAACATTTGTCTAAGTAAAAATGTATGACTAAGACCTTATAAACACAGGCAACCAAAACGAATGAGACTTAGTTAAACTTAAAACTTCTGCACAACAAAAGAAATAACAGAATGAAGAGACAATATGTTGAATGGAGGCAAATGTTTGTAAACTACTCATCTGACAGAGGACTAGTATCCAGAATGCACAAGGGACTCAAAAAAAACTCAACAACAATAAGAAAAATCCCATTAAAAAAGTGGTCAAAGGTCATTAGACATTTTTCAAAAAAAGACATTCAAATGGCCAACAGATATATGAAAAAGTGTTCAACATCGCTAATCATGAGAGAAATGCACATTAAAAAAGCAATGACATATTATTTTACCCCAGTGAGAATGGATGTCAATAGATAAAAAATAACAGATGTCAGTGAGGGTGTGGATAAAAGGAAACTAGCATACACTGTTGGTGAGAATGTAAATTAGTACAAACTCTATGGAAAAGAGTATGGAGAGTTCTCAAAGAACTAAAAATAGAACTACCATTTGATCTAGCAATCTCACTACTGGGTATTTACCCAGAGGGAAAAAAAAAGAAATCAACACATTAAAAAGATACCTGCATGTAGATGTTTAATGCAGCACTATTCACAATAACAAAGATATGGAATCAACCCAAGTATTTCTCAATGTATGATTGGATAAAGAAAATGTGGACTACATACACAATGGCTTATTATTTGGTCATAAAAATTATTGAAGTTATGTCTTTTGCAGCAACATGGATGTAACTGGAGGTCATTATCTTAAGTGCAACAAGCCAGGCACAGAAAGTCAAATATGGCATGTTCTCACTTCTTAGTGGGTGCTAATAAATATGTATACATGGATGTAGAGAGTAGATTGATAGATAATGGAGGCTTAGAAAGGTGAGGGGGAGGAAGGGGTGGATGATTCAAAATTACTGAATGGGTATGATGTATATTATACAGGTGATGATTACACTAAAGGCCCAGACTTCACCACTATGCAATATCTCTATATAATAAAACTGCACTTACACCCCATAAATTAATACAAATAAATAAAAAAGAAGCCTCCAAATTATTCTCTAAGTACTTGATATAATTTGGCTCTGTGTCCCCACCCAAATCTCATCTCCATTTGTAATCCCCATGTGTTGAAGGAGGGATCTGGTGGGAGGTGACTGGATCATGGGGGCAGTTCCTTTATGCTGTTGTTGTGATAGTGAGGGAGTTCTCATGAGATCTGATGGTTTGCAAGTGGCAGTTTCCCCTGTGTGTTCTTTCTCTTCTGCTGCCTTGTGAAGAAGGTTCCTTTGCCTTTCCCCATGATTGTAAGTTTCCTGAGGCCTCCTCAGCCATGCTGAACTGTGAGTCAATTAAACTCTTTCCTTTATAAATTACCCAGTGTCAGGCAGTTCTTCACAGTAGTGTGAAAATGGACTAACACAGTAAATTGGTACCAGCAAAGTGGGGCACTTCTATAAAGATACCTAAAAATATGGAAGCAACTTTGGAACTCGGTAACAGGCAGAAGTTGGAACAGTTTGGAGGCCTCAGAAGATGACAGGAAGATGTGGGAAAGTTTGGAACCTCTAAGAGACTTGTTGAATGGTTTTGATCAAAACGTTCATAGTGATATGAACAATAAAGTCTAGGCTGAGGTGGTCTCAGATAGAGATCAGGAACTTATTGGGAACTGGAGTAAAGTTCACTCTTGCTATACCTTAGCAAAGATACTGGTGGCATTTTGCCCCTGCCCTAAAGATCTGCAGAACTTTGAACTTGAGAGAGATGATTTAGGGTAGCTGGCAGAAGAAATTTTTAAGCAGCAAAGTATTCCAGATGTGACCTGGCTTTTTCTAAAAGAATATAGTCATATGTATTCACAAAGGGATGATTTGAAATTGGAGCTTATGTTTAAAAGGGAAGCAGAGCATAACAATTTGGAAAATTTGCAGCCTGACCATGTGGTAGAAAAGAAAAACCCATATTCTAGGGAGAAATTTAA